>NC_000001.11:50311410-50462925 GCF_000001405.40 Homo sapiens
ATGAAGAAACACAATGTCAGTCTACTTTTCCTTGGGAAAAAGTTCAATCCTTTGTTTCTCCCAGGGAAATGGGAGAGGAGGTAACAGCTTTTTCTCCTCTTCTAGGGAGAAGAGGTCAGAGTAGGGCTGGTTTTTAAAACCAGGAGCCCCTCAGCCAGTCCTGTGAGAAGGTGGGCACCATGACTCTTAGTCTGTTTAAAATGTAAAGACTTTGTGCCTTTTTTTTTCAAGCAGTAAACTTTAGGTGTCAATTCCTAGCTGGGGGCAGGGGCAATGATCTACTCTGCACTTCACTCTGTCCTTCACACTATTTCCTGGAATTGAGGCTAGCACAAGAGAGGTTTTAAAAAGAGTGCTTCTTTGTGGGTAAACAGGGGAAACTTCCTTAAAGCAACAGTCTGAAGTTGAACCTTAAAGATTAGAAAGAATAAAATTGCTGAAGAAAAAATGTGATCTCAGCATGGGGAAGAGGAAAAGGAATCATCATGACATTGTTCAGGAGATAGCACAGTGTTCAGTGTATAGTAGGCATTCAACAAATAAAATGAATTAAACTGTTCCACCTACAACTAGAAGTTCTTTCTTAAACAAACAAAAAAAAAAAGCAGGGACTGCGTAGCTGGACAGACTGAATTCAGACCACCACCCTTCCATTAATTTGGCATCTTCTCTAAGTCTTTTGATCTCTCTGAGCCTTTCTTTCCCCAGATTTTTAAAAAAGGATAATAAAATCATTTAGAGAATTGTTATGAGCACTAACAAGTTGCATAGCACATTGTAGCTGATAAAATGCCATGTGTCCACCAAATAGGTTTATTTTCCTCCTAGGCACACAGTTGCCTTAAGGAACCAAGAGTCTGAATTCTGGTCAGTAGAATGTGGGCAGAAGTGAGGCATGCCACTTCCAGCCTTGGCCCCTAAACCTCCCGTACAATCTTCCATACTTTTCTCTTGCCCTTGTCAATGAGGGTGAAAGTGAAAGAATCCAGGAAGGTAAAGTTAGAAAAGATCTGTTCCCAAGAGTCACTTGGTCTACCACTGACTATGGTGGTTAAGACATAAACTTTTGTTGTTTAATCCGCTGGGGTTTGAAGGTTGTGTGCTCCAGCAGCAAGCACTTTACTTCAACTAATACACACATATAAAGTACTTGGTAAATATTGGCCATTATTGTTAATTATATTTTTATATCACTCTTTAGTTCACAAGTACTTTTTATTTCTTCACATAATTGATTCTCACAGTGCCCTTGTAAATGAATATGGAGAACAGAGAATACTGCCCCATTTTATAAATGAGGAATCTGAGATCAAAACGCACAAGTGAATGGAGGTGCCCACTAATTACACACAAGAAAGGAAGTCACATGACCAAGACAAAAACCATTATACTTGACTGAAGGCCCCTCTTATTCTGCCTGAATCTGAACAGTTGTTTGCTGGGTCACATTACCAGCTCTAGCCCCGCTGGGATCTTTCCAGTCCACAGAGCAACAGTGCCAGGGAGAAACCCAAATTTCTTAGGGTCAGTGGCAAGACACAAGAAGTTAGTAATTCCCAACAAGCCTCAAGTATGAGCAGATAGGCTGGATATCAGATACGAAAGTCAGGTGAGGTAACATCACCAATTCAGAAGACCACATGCCACCATGGAAAGAATGAAGGGATGTGGATTCTAGTTGTAGTTCTGCCATCATCTTGCTGAGCAGCCTTGGGCAAGTCACTGTGCCTCTCTGGACTTCAGTTCTGAATCAAAGTCTATAGCGCAACATCAGGACTGACGGGTCAGACTTTCCTGGGAGGCCTGGGGCCCTCTTGGTTGCAGAGTGATTAGAGTATCCCACCTCCAGGGGACCTCAGGTTTTCCCCTCAGAGGCCAACTGAGAGTGGGCCAGCTCCAGTCCCCACCCTCACCCCACTCAGCTCCTCATGCTCCAAAATCCCAGGCAAAAGGCATCTGTCACCAAAACAAGTGGCCCGCCATTTCAGCAGGGAGCAAAAGCTGGGAACAAATGGTGTTTTGTCTAAACAATTGTTTCGAAGAGCAATTCATTTTCCAGGATGGCTTTTTTTTTTAATTATGTTGGTTCCCTAATTAGGTTGGGACACAAAAATAATTTCCAATGTACAGATAACAAATGCCTCCATCTGAGGGAATCAGCTGTCCTCAAACTGCCAACCCTGGTGAATCACCACCTGCCAGGGATGGAGGAGCCTCAGAACCAGAGACCACAATGTGAGATCCTAAGAGGAGAGGGTAAGCCAGGCGCAGTGGCTCATGCCTGTAATCCCAGCACTTTGGGAGGCTGAGGCAGGCAGATCACGAGGTCAGGAAATCGAGACCATCCTGGCTAACACGGTGAAACCCCACCTCTACTAAAAAAAAAAAAAAAAATACAAAAAATTAGTTGGGCATGGTGGCGGGTGCCTGTAGTCCCAGCTACTCGGGAGGGTGAGGCAGGAGAATGGCGTGAACCCAGGAGGCGGAGCTTGCAGTGAGCGAGATCGTGCCACTGCACTCCAGCCTGGGCGACAGAGAGAGACTCCATCTCAAAAAAAAAAAAAAGCAGCAGGTAAAAGGTCACACACAAATTAGAGACCAGAGACAATGCACTCTTGACTCTGAGTGTAATGTCTGGCCAGTAACTGTTACTAATATAAATATTATCATTATTGTCATTACTATTGTTGTTATTTTAGAACTAGACAGAGCTAGGCTTGAGTCCTGAGCCTCCACTTACTAGTTATAAGCCCCTTTTTAAGTGTCAACTTTTTCATCTGCAAAATGGGTGAATAATTTCTATCATCTCAGGATGATCAAATAAAAAAATATGTAAATTGTCGGGCCCTTAGTAAGCAACTTACCATTCTTAATTAACATTCAAAAATAGGTAGAAAAAGACCCAGAGGAAAAAAATAGCACTGTGGTTAAGGGCACAGATCTAGAGCTGGATTGTAGGGGTTTGAACTCAGTTTACCATTTATTAGCTATGTGGCCTTAGGCAAGCTACTTACCCTCTAGCGCCTCAGTTTCTTCATCTTCCAAATGTGGATAACAACAATGATTATGATAGTGATGATGGTGATAATTCATATGTCATAGGGTTTTATGAGAATAGATGCATACAGTAAGTATTATAAAAGTGCTAGCAGTTATTAATTGCAATTTTGCTTCATTCCCGCTAGGTCTTGAACTCAAGTTTCCAGCTATGAGTCCTGAGTTCCTCCTGGCCTCTGACAACAGCTGCCTAGGCCATGGGGCAGAGTGAGGAGAGAGGGGTCCCCCCCACTTTCCACCAACACTGCCTCAGTTCTATGCCAGACCTAGCTCTGCCATCTCTTGATTGTGTGACTTGAGCAAGTCCCAAGGCCTCTCTGAGTCTCCTTGCCTCCTCTTTAAAGGGGGTATACTAATTTTTGTCCTCCCACCTTCCAGGCCACAGTGAGAACTTGGTGTGAAAATTCTTTGAACGCTGAGCAGGAGTGAGGCAAAATTGGAATTAATATCTGCTAACACTTTTATAATACTCACTGTATACACCTATTCTCATACAACCCTATGACATATGAATTATCACCACCACCATCCCTAGCATAATCATCATTATCATCCACATTTGGAAGATGGAGAAACCGAGGTGCTAGAGGGTAAAAAGTGCTAGTGGCTGAAAGTGGGCCTAGGAGCTACATGAACCAAGAAAGATGAGTGAGAACAGATAACACTGCATGGCTAGCTATGAAGGTGGGCAGGAAAAACTAAGGGTGATAACTTTACCTGAATTGATTTGACCTGTAGGGCCATTAACTTTATGCCTCCCACTTGGTTAGGAGCAAAGCCAAGCCTGACTGCAGCTACTTGCAGCCTATTGCCTCTGCTGCACAGATTAGAGAGAAGAGAGCAGTCGCCACAGAGGAGGAGGCCAGTCAGGGTCAGGACTAGGGTGAGATGAGCAAGGTGCCTAGGGCACAAAATTTAAGGAGGCCCCCACCCTCCAGATTGTGCAAGTGCCTCCTTGGTGCTTCACTTGCCTTACCCTACCCCTGACCCTGAGATGAAAATAGGCCCCAGCCTGGGGATCAGGACCCCTGTATTGAGGTCCTGGTTCTGCTACTTGCCAGGCAATTAGGGAACTGGATTTACCTCTTCCCAAAAATAGAGGTGTGCATCCCTACATTCAAGAGTGATGTGAGGACCGGGTGAGAGGTGCTGAGCTCATACAGTAAAGGCAGCCTTTAGTGACCACCTGCTCTGCAGACAAGGAGACATGCTCCCCACCTGCACTCACCAGCCTCTCCTTTACCCCCACTCCATAGCCCAACCTGTGTGTTCACTCCTAGTATAGGCCCCACACCCCTGCACAGGCTGCTCTTACCTTCTCTCCAGGCCACAGGACCCTCCCCTTCTCATCTCTGGCTGTCTCAATCGTCTACCTTTCCTTCTCTAACCGCCAAGCTCCTCCTCGCACCCCTGCCACATTAGCTCCACAGGACACACATGAGCTGCTCTCGCCCCTGAACCATTTTCTGTGTGCTGGCCTCAGATCTCCAGCAAGAAGGGTATTATGGACTTAATTTTGTCCCCCTAGAATTCATATGTTGAAGCTCTAATCCCCAGTGTGACTTTCTTTACTTGGAAATAGGACCTTTAAGGGGCTAATTAAGGTTAAATGAGGTCATAAGTATAGGGCCCTAATCCAATAGGACTAGTATCCTTCTAAGAAGAGGTAGAGATGCCAGGAGTGTGCACCCACAGAGAAAAATGCCCTGTGGGGACACAACCAGAAGGTGCCATCTACAAACCAGAAAGAGAGGCCCTACCAGAAACCAACCCTGATGGCATCTCCATTTTGGACTTGCAGCCTCCTGAACTGTGAGAAAATTAAGTTCTGTGGTTTAATCCTGTAGTATTCTGTTATGGCAGCCTGAGCAGACTGATAAAAAAGGGCCTGTATCACATTTCACATGTGATCTTGGATGGTCACTTCCTTCCTCCAAGACTCTTTCTATAGCTGAGAAAAGGAGTTAGCATGGCTAGGTGGTTTTCCACCAGCAAAGTCACAGAAGCTTGAAACAGATGAACTGCACTGCCAGGGAAGGTGTGCTCTGAAGACGCTATGTGTGATGAGGCTAAGGGGCAGGGCCAGGTTGTGAGGGTCCTGCTAAGCCACGCAAAGGGCTGTCTCCTTTCTGAGGAGGGGCAGAAAGGAGCCATTGGAGAGTTTTGAAGAAGGGAGTGATATGGTTTGTGTTTTAGAAGGGCCACGCTGGCTGCTATGTGGGACCTGGATTGGAAAGGCAGTGAGGAAGGTGACATGGAAAGCCAAACATGGGGTGCTGCAGGAGAAGGGACAGTGTGAATGACATCAGGAGACAGAATAGATAGGATGTGCTTGTCTGGATGGGGAACAGGGAGGTTAGGGATGCTGTGCCCCATTCTCTACTCAGGAAGTGGCTGGGTGGGCCGGACCAGGGTAGAGAGGGGCCTATGGATGTGGAGGTACTTTCTACATTGTGGTGGCAGGGGCTGGCGGGGGGGCTGTTGTCTACCCTAGCAGCAACAAAATACTAGGTACATGACAAATGCTTGAAAAATATCGGCTCAATAAATAAATATGAAGAAATGAAATGTTAAGGTTACCACCTTGGTCACACTCTTGGTCTAAAATGGAATCTCAGCTCCCAATAATGAAGCTGGCAATCCCTTTAATTACCTCTTTGACCTCTCAACCAGCCATACCCCAGCAGGACCAGAACCAGAACTCAGATCCTACTACTCAGGGGCCATTTGCTATGGGACTGATGCTTTCCCACTCAACACCTGTTTTAATTCCTGCAACAACAGTCTGAGGGAGAGGAGATCAGCCCCATTTTAGAGACGAGGAAACTGGGGCTCAGAGAGGCTCAGCAGCTGGTTCCAGGCCACCTTCCTTCACTCCATCCCATGGTTTCTTGTTTCCTTGAAGGCTACGAACTCTTCACCTTTGATACAGAACAAGAACAAATTCCTGGAAGTCCTCTGCTACACCATTTGGCTGGAAAATATTTCTTTAAAAAGATATGCTGTCATCTTCTCCTTTTTTCTTCATATTTCAGAGTCTTGGGCCGCAGCTCTTAATCTGCTGGAAAATATAGCCTAGCCATGTATCCTGTCACTCTGATCTGAGGCACAGCTCTCAACCACAAATTATTTCCACTTCTCATTAAGAATATACATTCATCACATTCTATCCAGGGCCCAGTTATTCCTCCCTGAAACATATAATTAGAATAAAATTAAAAATTCAGAGTGTCAGAATATTCCCTGGCCTGACCCCTTATTGTCACATGGGGAAACTGAGGCCCAGAGAGGAAAAGGGGCCAGCCCAGCATCACATAGCCACTCCATGGACTTGAACCCCCATTTCCTGACTCCCCTCCAGTTGTCCTCCCACAGTCCTTGCATACTGTAAATGAAATCAAAAACTACATGCAGGTCACTCTTGCCAATCTGCCGTTTTGTTTGAGATGGATTCTGTGTGGTTTTATTACTGAGTTCTGAGCTGCCCACTGGGCCCTCCCTCACTCACTTGCTTCTAGAAAAGAAGTAACCATGTAGCAGAAACACATGCTAACACGGTGGTGTAAAGACCCCATGGAACAAGAAAAGGTGAGCAGAAAGAGATTTGGGGCAGTTGAAAAAAAGGTGGGAGCCAAAGAGCAAAGAAGCAAATGAACCCCTATTTTGAACATCTACTCATCTCAGACACTGTGTTAGAAAAGGTGTGCTCATGTTCTTGTTTAATCCCCTATGAGGAGATTATTAAGACTTCCATCTTAAAGATGAGCAGATTGAGGCTCAGGGAGATTAAAGTAACTTGTCCAAGGTAACTTGCCAATGGGGTGGAAAGATTCACAGTCTGTTTAACCCCAAGTCCAGTACTCAGTCTGTTACATCTGGCTCTCTCTCATGTACAGATTATGTGCCCTTGGGTAGGTCTTTTCCCTCAAGTGGCCCCATCTGGAAAATGAAACAAGTATAGCTTCATCACTGGAGAAAACCAAGAAAAAATAGAACAGTAAGAGACACAATTAGAAAGAGACAAAGGGAGAACCAAGCCTCTCTGCCAACCAAAGCCATTAACAGCAAACTCTGCTGATCAGAGCAGAGGTGGGTTTATGTGCATATCCACTGCCATCCCCACCCTACCCCCCAGGTGTCCACTTTAATATGACTCAACCTCTCCCAGGTTGCTCCTTGGCTCTTTGGAATGTCCCCCCACCAAGGGTAGGGCCTCTGATGGGTTTCCTCTTCCCTGCACTTGGCTCCCAGACTTTTGAGGCCCTCCCTCAGTGCCAGCCCAGCAACAAGCTCACAACCTCCCTTCCTGCCAGGGAGGCCAGGACAGGGAAAGGAAAGGGGCAGGGAAGCCTGGGTCCCTTCCAAAATGCCCATCATGTCCATACTAGGTACTACAATCTCAGAGTCATTCAAGTATGTGAGAGGCCCTATGCAGGGACAGAGAAAGACAAAACTGCAAACAAAGAGCATTAACCTGGTTGAGCCTCAGTTGCCTTATCTGTAAAATGGGCACAGTCTTCTTCATTTAACCCACACACAACCTATGAGGTAAGTGTAATCGTTAACCCCATAAAAGTTCAGCCCAATTCACAGAAAGTGCTCAGTAAACTAGAACTATTATATTACACAAAAGCACAGTCCCTGCCCTCAAAGAGCTCCCATCTTAGTGGGGAGGGTGTGTACCCAAGTAACAAGGTTTGCTACCATTAGGTGAACAACTCCTCTTTTCAGGCACTGAATCTGTGGTATTTCTAATCTTCACAGAATCCTACAAGTCCTAGCATCTTCCATTTGGCACTGAGGAATCTCAGGCCCCTAAAAACTTGCTTCGGGTCACTCAACTAGGATTCCAAATATTAATACCTCCTCTCAGCCCACTCTGTTACAAAGTAGAAATCAAGAATCTCTGGAGTTGACATCCAGGCCAAAGTCTGTATTATTCCTCATTAGCTCTTTTGGAGGCCTGGATTGGGACATTAGAAGAAATCAAGCTAGGAGGAAGTCCCAGCCAGCCAGCTGGGGGCTGGCCCAGAACTGTAGAGGCCTCCGAGGCAAGTGGGTAGCCAAGCCAGAGAGTGCCCACTTCATGGAGTTTTTAGAAGGAGCCACTGGGAAGGGCCAAGCTTCCCCACTACAGAGCCTCTGGGAGGGTCCGGCAAGACCGACAAAGAGGCTGGGGCCATACCCAGGTGGCAGAGAATTAGGCCTCACCGTGACTATGAAGATGGAGAGGAAGGGATGCCCTGTCAACAAGCATCCACAGGACTATCCACTTCAACCCTTTGGGGAATACAAGGAAAATGCCTGAACCCCCACCCTCCTGAAGCCTTCACTTCCCTCTGTGAGAGGGGCCCTAAACATAGGAGAAGGGAATAAATTATTCTTCATAACAACCCCATGCTGCAAAAGTTATCATAAATCCCAATTTTCAGATGAGGAAACAAGGCTCTGAGAGGGGAAGCAATTTGCTCCAAATCACACAGATAATGAAGCTAAGCCCCTCTAGTTTTTGCTCCTCTGAGCCACATCACTCATCCCCTCCTTGTCCAGTTTATCTTGTTCTTATAAGAGGAGAGGAAGGAACATATGGACCTTCACCATGGTGTTCCTATGGGCTGGCTGCATGAGATGCACTTCTAAAGATTTTTAAACATACTGATCCCCAGATCCTGCCCATGCAGATTCTGATTCAGATGGTTTGGACAGATTCTACAAATCTGTACTTTTAAATAAGTGCTGAAATTAATTCCAATTTTCAGTGGTGGCTAAAAGCAAGATGACTCCCTTGAAATATTCCTCATTTCCTACCTCTAGCCCAAGGCCCAGTGAGTAGCGTGAAAAGCAGCTTCTGCACAGCAAAAGAAACTACCATCAGAGTGAACAGGCAACCTACAGAATGGGAGAAAATTTTTGCAATCTACTCATCTGACAAATATCCAGAATCTACAAAAAACTCAAACAAATTTACAAGAAAAAATCAAACAACCCCATCAAAAAGTGGACAAACGATATGAACAGACACTTCTCAAAAGAAGACATTTATGCAGCCAACAGACACAAGAAAAAATGCTCATCATCACTGGCCATCAGAGAAATGAAAAACAAAACCACAATGAGATACCATCTCACACCAGTTAGAATGGCAATCATTAAAAAGTCAGGAAACAACAGGTGTTGGAGAGGATGTGGAGAAATAGGATCACTTTTACACTGTTGGTGGGACTGTAAACAGTTCAACCATTGTGGAAGACAGCGTGGCAATTCCTCAAGGATCTAGAACTAAAAATACCATTTGACCCAGCCATCCCATTATTCCCGACTCCTTCGGGGACTTCAAAAGAGCTTTGCTATGTCTCTCTGTTCCCTCTGCTTCATCCTCCTGTCCAATGTCAACCACCCTTGAAGTCCAGCTCCAATCTCTCCTCCTTCACAGACACCCCACACTACAGGCTAAAATAGACCCCTCCTCTCTCTGCCCTGTGATATAGTTGGCATTTACTGAGTGCTAATCATGTGCTAGGCTCTGCAGTGAGCCACCACAATCATTACCTCTTCTAATCCTGGCTACTACATGAAGTAGATGCTTCTATTCTCCCCAATTTAGAGATGAAATGCAGAGGATTAGGTCACTTGCCCAAGTTCACATGGCTAGTAAGTGGCAAAGTTAGGATTTCACCTTGGGAAGACTGGCTCCAGAGGCCCCACCCTTAATTGTGACATGACACTGCCTCTACATACCACCATTAATGTTCTCATAACCTCCAAGAATTTCTCCTATGGTGGGATTTTTCAGTGCAAATTAAATACAATATGATCCTTTAATTAAAGAGCGCAATTTACACTGAGCAGATCACAGTTAGTTATAACACAGTGGAGGGGAGGAATCTGCTACAGGTGAACTAGAGAAGGAGATGGTAGGCGCTGAAGAAGGCGTGTCCTGATGTCTTTAGGATGCCTCCTTAGAGGGACTCGATGCTTTGTTACTCCAGCAGAGGATTGTCAAGGTGATTGGAGGTCTGAGCTAGTGATAGTGCTGGGTGACAGGGGAAAAAAGGCTGTTCCTCTTGAACAAAATCATGAGGAAGTCTAAAACTGGATTTGCTCTGTGATGTTCATCTTTTACAGCCATACACTTATAGCTGTAAAAGCACCTTTATTATTGACATTCCTGAAGGAAAAATAACATTTTTATGGCGTCTGACACTCTCAAACCCCTAACCTCATTTTCCCCATTGAAGCAATTGTCTCTATAATTCAATTTTTTATAATACAAGATTTCTTAAGAATGCAAACTCCACATCCTAAGAGAGCATAGCACACAACTGGTATCCTTCAGGATGTCTGTCTTCCCTGATTGAGCTCCCCAAGGGTGAACATAGGTCAGCTCCATAGCTGGGGCCTCAGAAACCAGCACAGAGACCAGTCCAGAGCCTGGCATGGAGCAGGTGCCCAACAGCTGTTTGCTAGGTGCTGCCTCTGCCACCACCTGCCATCCCTCCTGAGAACCCACCCTTTATTTCTCTTCTGTGTCATGTCCTTTGGTAAATGTAACATCTCCAGCTGGTTTAACCTCCCCTGATCTGTCTCCTGCAAACAGCCTGAATCATTGCATGCCAGAATTGCCCAGAGCCCTTATTCATGTGAAATCAACACACACCATCTTATGCTGCCACCACTACCATTACAAAACTCTTAGCAGCCCATAGAGAACTGAGTTCAAATCCCCCCTCTCCTTGACACCAAGGAGGCCAGGTGGCAAGCCCTGGATCACACAGGTCCCACAGACCCTATCAGCTCCTTCTGCTTTCATACACAATTAATTTAGCAGAACCCAGAGGCTCCCTCAAGGCAGGAAACAGCACCCTGAGAGGAGGGCAGGTGGCTCTGATGGTGGCCAAGGGTTTGAATAGGCCAGCCAAGTCTACAAACTTAGACACTGAACTAGACCTGCTGTTTGCCTCAATTTCTCCCTAAAAGCCCAAGACCACATTAGCCATGGGATGGTGACACTTCTGCTCTGGTGACACCACTGACAGTCCTGCACCAAGAGCTGGAAGCACTGGGCATTACCTTCTATTCACACAGTTGGCAGCTGTGTGACTTTGACTTCCCCTCTCTGAGCCTCCATTTCCTCACCTGTCCTTCTCCAGGGATGCTAACACCTGCCTTGCACAGTTATTCAAGGATCCCATCACCTATTGGGCATAAAGTACCTAACACAAGACCTGGTCCACACAGGTGTGCTCAGTAAATGGAAACTATTTGAAGGTTATGATGATGGTGGTGATAATGATGATGATGATGATGATGATGATGACGATGATGATGATGAAAATCTCTTCTCAGCAAAGTGAGACCAAGGCCTCAGTGAGATTTGGAGCCCACCTGAATAAGCACTGAGCATGTTTATCCTGATGGGTCAGGGGACACTATTAGAAACCCGGGTGAACCCAAGTGCTACTGAAGGTTATTATGCCCAAACCTGCCCTGCCTTCACCTTCTTCAAGTCCTTGAGTAAAGAAAGTAACCAGGACAATAATTAGAAAATAGAAAGTTAAGTGACACTGATTTTTAACAGAAGCTTTGGCCCCAAACTCAGTGCTGAAAATTGAGCAGGCCTATGGGGAAGTCTCCTTACCTGGATGAGGTGAACCCCTCTGGTCAGAAACTAAGCAGGCCCCCATCTGATTAGTTCAGCCCATGACCAAATGGAAATCCCAAACACTGGCAACACAGCCCCTCTGTACCTGGATAAACAGAGAAGGAGACCAAGGATGAAGGAGAGAGGCTGACCAGTGTCTTAAGAAGAGCAGGGATGGAGCCCAGACGGCAGTGGGGGAGAAAAAAAGGCCACAGCCATGGGCAGACCTTGGTCACCTCTGAAGTCTCTAGAAGCCCCTGGCCCAGAAAAGATCCCGCAGAACACCTCTCCTCTGAAGGAAAATAGAGGGGCCCCCAGATTCCCCCAGGGCCTCTAGGTGGGCCCAGTCCTCTGCAGCTGGCATGGGAGCTGCAGTACATGCTGCAGGCCCTGAGCCCTCCCACTTCATTTCTTGCTGTCCCTGTGTCTCTGCCCCAGCCAGGCCAGCCCCTTGCTGGCTACGGCAGGCAGTGAGACCTGGCTCTAAGGATTCACACAGACACTGTGCCTTGGGATCCAACCCAAATCCTTTAATCTGGTGTTTCAGGCCCAGGTCTCTCCTCCCTACAGCACCAGGCACAGTGCACCTCCATTCCATTCATCCACATCCCTGTCTTCCCATGCTCATTCCAAGCTCTGTTGCCTCCAAGAAGCCCGCCCTGCCTGCCCCAGTCCCCTCCCTCTTCTGAGCCCTCACCGTTCTTCCTCTCTGGTCCCTCATTTGATAAATCAGCTGTAAAATCTTTCATCAGAGAACACCTTGTATTGCTCTGTCTTAACTTAGGATCCTGATTCCCCAGCTCTAGAGAAAGCCCGTTGAGCTCTTAATCTGGCCAAGCTTCAGTTTCCTCCTATGTAAAACAGAGACATTGACAACTAGATTTTTAGCACCCACTCTATTCCACTCCCAATATTAGGGGTTGTGGGGAATACAAGAAGGAAAATGCACAGTCTCTGATCTCAAGGAGCCACTGGACACTCATAACAAGAACCCAAGGTGGTGTGCAGTAGAGGGACAAAGCAGAGACAAGCCTTGTGTGGTGAGGGTTCAGGGGAGGGAAAGATGCAGGCAGTTTTCTTGAAAGAGGTAGTATTTGAGCGGTCACGAGAGATGACTGGTCTCCAACAGGCAGATGTGGGATACAGAGGGGATTCAAGGTAGAAAGATAACATGAGCAAGAACACGGAGGAGGGAAATTTCAGGGCCTGTTTGGTAAAGTAGATATTTCCATTTGCCTGGAATCTATGGTACCAGTAGGCTGTAGAGGAAATACTGCCAAGTGATTTCAGCCTTTGGAGTAAAGCACCTTGAAAGGAAGGATGATAAACTTGCTCCTATTCTGTTGAGGGAAAGTTTTTGAAGAAGACCAAGTATAACATGACCAAAATATCTTCATAGAAAGATTAATCTGGCAGGCCGAGAAGAATGGATTAAAATGGGAAGAAACTGGGACACAAATAGGTCACAATGAAATGCCATTTCACATTCACTAGATGGATCAAAATTAGGATGTCTAATAACACCAAGTGTTAGGGAAGATATGGAGCAGTGGAAATTCTCAGACACTGGTGGTGGGAGTATTAATTACTACGGCCATTTTGGAAAACGATTTGGCATTATCTTACATAGCCACACATTTGCATATGTTCTCTGCGACCCTATAACCCAGCAATTTCACCCCTAGACCAGTATTCTCCAGAGCAACAATTCTCAAATTGTGGTCCAGGGACTTGAAACTTTTTCAGGGGATCCATGAGGTCAAAACTATTTTCATAATATATTTGAAAAGTATTATTTGACTTTTTTACTCTTGTCTCACAGGTGCACAGTATTTTTCAGAGGATGCATGATGGATGATATTGCAACAGATTGACCATGGATGCAGATACAAGAATTCAGCTGTCTTCTGTTAAGCCAGACATTAAAGAAATTTTCAAACACGTCAACAACATCACTCTTTTCTATTTATTTTGTCTCAGAAAATAGTTATTTTTCATTTAAAGTGTGTGATTTATGTTAACATATAATGAGTTTCTTAATCATTTTAAAATGAATTAATAAATACATTTTTCTCAGCTTTAATTTCTAATATAGTGAATATATTTAGATATAACTCACATAAACAAAAGCTCTTTGGGATCCTGAGACTAAAATGTTCGATAACCACTGCCCCACACAAACTCCTGCACATTCTTCTGAGGCTGTGAACAAGGAGGCCTGTAACAGCACTCTCTTGGCTAAATATTTGTAGTAGCAAAAACTGAACACAACTCAAATGTCCACAGACAGGAGAATGGATAAAATAAATTGTATATTTATTTTGGTATATTATACAGCATTGTATATTATAATGGTATATTATACAGCATCGAAAATAAATGAACTACAGCTTTAAAAAAATAGATAAATCTTAGAAAAATACATTGGTAAAAACAAGACAGGTCCAGAAGACAACAAATATTATATCAATTTTACAAAGCTCAAAAACAAACTAAGCTAAACATGTATACTTAAGAATACATACATATGTGATAAAGCTTTTTTTAAGCAAGAAAATAATAAATACACAATTCACCCTCTTGGATGGAGTCTGAGGATTCAGTTAAAGGAGGAGCACATACCTCTTGTTGATAATGTTCCAATTCTTCAGTTGGGTTGTGGCTGATAGGCAGCCATGTTACTATTATGCTTCATAATTACATAAATAATACATATACTCTTTCGTATGTACCAAATATGATCTTAAAAAGATAACCCCTAGTACCCAGACTGTGGCCTCTAAATACCATTTCCCAGTAAACAAACACAAAGGTTCCTCAGAGAGGCAGATTGCAGTTCTGGGGCAGGAAATGTACAAAATGGTACATCTTGTCATTCTAGAAAGCAGGGAAGCTAGCAGAGACTACTGGGATAATAATCAAAAGGGCTCAGAAGCCAAGTTGAAGAGATTTCCATTGGCCAAAAACAGGATAATTTGAGTGTCAATAAGGATAAAAACTGAGCTTCTCCGAGAAAGCACCAAATGGTGGATGACGCCGGTGCAGCGGGGCGAGGGGGAGGCCCTGGGGACCCTGGGATGGGGAACTGCATTGGGTTCCGCGGAGGTTTCGGCAGTGGCATCCGGGGCCGGGGTCGCGGCCATGGACGTGGCTGGGGCTGAGACCGCGGAGCTCATGGAGGCAAGGCTGAGGATAAGAAGTGGATGCCCGTCACCAAGCTGGGCCACTTGGTCAAGGACATGAAGATCAAGTCCCTGGAGGAGATCTGTCTCTTCTCTCTGCCCATTAAGGAATCCGAGATCATTGACTTTCTCCTGGGGGCCTCTCTCAAGGAGGAGGTTTTGAAGATTATGCCGGCGCAGAAGCAGACCCGTGCTGGCCAGCGCATCAGGTTCAAGGCATTTGTTGCTATTGGGGACTACAATGGCCACGTCGGTCTGGGTGTTAAGTGCTCCAAGGAGGTGGCCACTGCCATCCGTGGAGCCATCATCCTGACCAAGCTCTCCATTGTCCTCGTGCGCAGAGGCTACTGGGGGAACAAGATCGGCAAGCCCCACACCGTCCCTTGCAAGGTGACAGGCTGCTGCAGCTCTGTGCTGGCGTGCCTCATCCCTCCACCCAGGGGCACTGGCATCGTCTCGGTGCCTGTGCCCAAGAAGTTGCTCATGATGGCTGGTATCGATGACTGCTACACCTCAGCCCGGGGCTGCACTGCCACCCTGGGCAACTTCACCAAGGCCACCTTTGATGCCATCTCTAAGACCTACAGCTACCTGACCCCCGACCTCTGGAAGGAGACTGTATTCACCAAGTCCCCCGATCAGGAATTCAATGACCACCTCGTCAAGACCCACGCCAGAGTCTCCATGCCGCGGACCCAGGCTCCAGCTGTGGCTACAACAAAGGTTTTTATATAAGAAAAATAAAGTGAATTAAGCCTGGGTTTTTATTTAAGAAAAATAAAGTGAATTAAGCCTGAAAAAAAAGGATAAAAACTGAAATGGATTGAAACATATCTCATGTATTTAAACCCATATGAACTCATTATGAGTTCATAATGATACAAAGTAATCTCATTGATTACCTTTGGATAATGCTAGAGAACAAATTCATTATTTTTAAAACTGAAAACAAATAGGGAGAATCAAGCATTTACCCTGCCTTCCCTGAATGAACAGTACTTCAGGCTAACCAAGTAGTTTATGAAAGGATGTTACCCTTTATAAAAGTCCAGCTAACAAACAAAAAAATGATAAACGATTACAGCTAAGTGCAGGGGCTCACACCTGTAATCCCAGCACTTCGGGAGGCCAAGGTGGGCAGATCGCTTGAGCCCAGGAGTTCGAAACCAGCCTGGGCAACATGGGGAAACCTCATCTCTACAAAAAATACAAAAAATTAGCTTGCCTTGGTGGTGCATGCCTGTAGTCTCAGCTACTCGGGAGATTGAGGTAGGAGGATCACGTGAGCTGGGAAGTCGAGGCTGCAGTGAGCCGTGATCATGCCACTGCATTGGCGCAAGACTGTCTCAAAATAAATAAATAAATAAATAAATAAATATTACTAATATGCAAATTCTGAAGAAATAATGGATCTAGTCAGTAATCATCAACGGCTGCTAATAACAAAAAGAGAGATGACAATTAGGCAGTTTGTGCTCCTTGGTAAAAGTTTGCAGCACCACCTCCAAGGCGTTCTTGCCAAAAATCAAATCTGAATCTGATGAGACCTCTAGATGCAACTAGTGATATACAGGAAACTCAGGGAACAGATGAACACATTAAACACCACCATGGGATTCATTCAGCAAAATCCAAATGTGGAAAATGGATAAACAACCCAGTTTCTTCAATAAATACACAGCTGAGGAAAAATAAGAAGAGGGATGAGCATATACATTAAAAACAAATAAAGACACTATGAGCCAATTGCAACATATGAAATTATTGGGATCCTGAATCAAACAAATTGTAAAACAATAAAATAAAATTATAAGTTAACCTAGGAAGTTTAAACACTATATATTTCATAATATTAGGGAATTTTTTATTATTTTTAGGTATGGTAATGATATTATAATTATATATTTTAATGCATCATTATATTGATAGATGTGATGATATGCTGTTTGGGTTTTGTTTCAAAACAACCTGGAGGCAGGTTAGGATGAGAATAGTGAGCAGCAGCAGGTGAAACAAGATTGGCCACGGGCTGATAACTGTTGAAACTCGCTGACAGGTACATTGGGTTCATCATGTTATTCTCTCTATTGTTGTATAAGTTTGAATTTTCCATAATAAAACATTTTTTAGAGAGCAGAGACAAAATAAAAATATTTCCAAACAACAACAAAAGAGAGATAATGAAGAAGTCGCAATTGTTCAGATGGAGGCCAGTGATGCCATGCAGACAGAGCAGAAGCAGCCTGGAAATGCTGATTCTGAAATGCCACACACCGTTGTTTAAATATCCAACCAGAAATCAGTGTGTCTTGGAAAGATCATCTCTGGGTCAGCAAAGAAAAACATCAAAACTAAACAAACAAACAAGTTCCGACACTGCCATGGAGATCCTTTCCTTATGCTTTTTATCCTGGAAAGTGGTTGCTTATCTCTCCCTTGTGTTTCCTGTCCATAAGCCAGATCTGCTTCTGTGACAGTTTCCCCAGTCCCATGGTGACTCAAATGTGATGCAGCAGTCGATACCTTGGAAACCACTGGAAAAGGGAGGAGACCCTGATGGGGGTCCCAGAATGCTTCTCAGATTAAACGACTTCACTTCTCCTGCCAGAGAGTAACTGAAGCCTACAGAGCTGAGGTCACTCACTAGTGCCCAGTAGAGCCACCTGAGAAAGCAGGGAATGGAGAGTCAGTCAGAGGACCCTGCAGCTGAGCCCAGCCCTGCACTCCCTGGGCAAGTGACCCTAGAAAGCCTTTGATTCCTCATTTGTAAGGTGGGGCCTGCAGTCACACATGCATCACACAGCAACATGCAAGCACACATGGCATGCAAACTCCTGAGCACGTTACAATTCCTGGATGGTGGTTATTTATTATTTAGACAATTCAAGCCTGGTGCCTCCTACCCAGGGCCATTCTACAGTGCCATCACCAACAACAGACATGACCTGAGCATCTACTCAATACCAAACATGAGTCTTCTCTCCTTTCTTTCCTGGTCTTGTGTGAGACACTATCATAGTCTTCTCCTTGCTAATGAATCCTGCCCCAAAATAGCCTGGGAACTGAGTCTCCACTACCCGAAGAGGTGCCAGGATGAGCACAGACCATGGCCTCTGCCTTATATTGGGCTTCCTAGAGACAGACTCTGGAACTAAGAGTTGTGTGCAGAAGGCTCATTGGAGAGTGCTCTTTGGAGTCGCACCTGCAGCTGGGCATGGGGCCAAGCTGACTCATAATGAATTACAACATCTCAGTCTATCCTCTATGGAACTTTGGAGCTAGGGTGGCCCCTCAGAATTGTCTCAAGTTGGGGAAAGAGGGTTGGGCTTTTATATCCCTGCCTCAGCCAATCATGGTCACAGCCACCCCTGAAGGGAAGAGTATGCTAGAGTGAGGCAGTTCCCATAGCCAATGGCAATTTCCAGTGGGCTGCCACAGGACTAGCCAGCAACCAAAATCCCCAGCAGGTGGCGGTTGCTGTGTCGACCCTGGAGAGGGGATCTAGACAGAAACACCACAGTATCCACTACAACCTCAGAGAGACCTGAGTTTCAAACTTGCTTCTGTCAGTTACAGCTTTGTCACCTTTGTGGAGATCTGCTGCTTACTGGATATTGGGAGTCTTAAATAAAAAAGACTGGATAAAATTGTCTGGATAAAAATGAATTGGATAAAAATTGAACTTTAAGGCTTAACTTCTTGCCTTCTCTATACTCTCTCCCCTTAAAATGACAGGAAAAGAGAAGATATAAACCCATAAGGACAGGAAGAAAGGAAAAGGAGTCATTTATGGATGAGAGAGTTCAACAAATTTCTATAAGATTAAAGGGAGATGGAGGTGTGAGTGGTAGAAGCCACAACACAACCTAAGCTTTCATGATCCACCAACACTGGGTGAGCATTCTCAGGGGAGCCACACTCGCCAGTCTCTCTACAAACATTATGGGCTGAAAACCTCGTCAGGTAGGCTGTTCCTTCCAATGCCCGAATACATCTCTTCCAGTTAATCTGTCTGCTTTCCCAGAAACAATTGCTTATTCCCAAACTTGTTTATGCCAGTGGCACTTGCTTTTGTAATTATGTGATTCCATTTAATATTAATAAGCCAATAAAATATGGTTGTAAAAAGGGAGTTGTTTTATGAAAAACTATGTTGGACACTTTGAAAGACTCAATGAAAGCAGACTGCCATTTAAGAAAAAATGTTTATCAGAGTTACAGACAAGCAGTTGTAATAGACTTGGAGGAAATCACATAAATCTAGAAGGAATCTGTACTCAGATTGTTCCATAAGCGCCTTTTAAGTTTTAGTTGCACAATAAAGGTGAACCTGGAAACGGTAGACAATGTTTTATGCATTGGGATTTGTGCAAGAAAGACCTTATAGAATTCCAACTAACAGGTCCATACTCAAAGAAAATGGAATAGACATCAGTATGTTTTCAGTCAAAATAAAATAAAATCATTTTTAATGATTTATTGCTTGAAACAATTTTTTTTGATTAGTCAACTGGTTTCTACTGAGTTAGATAAGACCTGCAGAAGATGTACCAATGAGAAGAAAGGCAACTGCCTGTAGAGGGGGAAAAGGGCATGAGATTTGAAGGCCAGAAAGGGCTGAAAACAGCAGGATTAACTGAGAATCTGCTTAGGGAACAGCCAGATCCCCCTGCCCCAGCCGTCTTCCCACTCTATAAAAAACATGGCAGTGACTCCAGACCTATCACTATATGCCAGGTTAAAAACTTTACATAAATAAACTCAACAACCCATGCAGTACTATTCTTATTAGGCCTAATTTACAGATAGGAAACAGGCAGAGAAAGATTAAGTGACTTGTCCATGGTCATATAGCTAGAAAGTGGCAGAGTTGAGATTCAAACCCAAGTGATCTGACTCCAGAATCCATCCTCTTCACCACATCCATCCTACCTTACTGAAGAAACAGGGCAGTCCCAAAGAAAAGAACTCCCCTTTTTTGATATTTATGTGTCCCCCCCACAAAACAAAAGGCCAAGTCCTGTCTGGTCCACCCAGAGGGAAATCAGCCCCATCTGCCTTCACAGACATCCAATGCCAGTCAACTTCTTGGACACTTATCCTTAACTATGGACAAAAGCCAAGGACCAGTAAAGATTAAAGAAGCCTCCAACCAACAGGAGGAGAGATGCAGAACCACAGAGAGACCACAATAAAGCAACCAAACAAAAGAGGGAAGCTGGAGGAGACAGAGATAAGTCAGCAAACCGGAGGGAAAAAAATCACTATTGATATCCTCAGAGAGATAAATACAGAGGCTGTATCTATGTTGTGGGGTGGGGGGAAGGAAGAACAGAGAATGAACAAGTATGATAGCTGAAATTAAAAATTCAGTAGAATGGTTGGGACATATATATAACGAAATAGCCTAGAGAGTAGAAGAGAAAGACAAGCAGAAGGGAAATACAGAAAAGTGAAAAGACACAGGAAAAGCAGGGCTGGAGGCCCAAGCTCCAACTCGCAGGAGTTGTGGAGAGCAAGCAGACAGAAGACTACTAAGGAAAAATAAAGTTTCACAGGACTAAAAGACAAGTTTCCACATTGAAAAGGGCCACCCAGAGCCTAGCACAACGAATGATAAAAGCCACCACGTGACAAGTTTTGTGAAATTCCAGAATTCCAAAGATTAAAAAAAAATCCTCAAAAACAGCCAGAGAGAAAGAAAAGCTGCACATAAGGAACATGAATCAGAAGGCATGAAGCTTCTCAAGGGTCACTCTAGGTGTTCGAGACAGTGCAAGGCACCCATGTATAAAGGAGAATGATTTCCAACCCAGAATTCTATGCTTAGCTGAATTATTGATCAAGTGCAAGGGCAGAATACGGAAAAGTCCACATGGATGAAAATTCCCCCACCCCTGCCCAATTTCTTAGGAAGCAATTAAAGTTTTCAAAAGAAGGGAGCAAACCAATAGAGACAGAGGACCATGAAATGATCCTGGAGAGACACCCTTGGACCAGAGGGTTCCTGCAGACAGCTGGGTAGTGCAGTTTGGGAGGGAGCATTCCTCAAGGCAGAATACCGAACATGACAGAGGAGGTTTTGTCGGGAAGCTATAGGATGAGAAGCCGTGGCAGTTTTGATACAGGTTTTGGGAAAACTAACAGCTACATTTTCTTAAAAGGAATGCTGATCACTGAATTACCTAAAAATAGTGCTTCAGATATACCGGGCATGCGCATGGGGCTGGAAGACAGCTAATTCCTTATTTATTCTAACAGGGAGACAACAGATAAAGTCTAGCGTTGGTAAATTAAGAAATCGCAGCATGAGCATATTATTTTGAAGTATGAGGGTAAATGCCAGAAAATACAGGTAAAAGTGGCTAAAGTGGTTGCCATCAGAGTGCAGAACTGGGAGGATGGATTGGGTGAGGCAGGAGATGGCTGTTTTTCCATAAAGAAGAAGCCTTTCCATTTGCATCCAGCCTGGGCCTCAGATTTCCTGAAGCACTTTCACATACAATATGAATTGGTTTCCTCAAGAACCCCCCATTACAGAGACAGGAAGCAGAGGCCCGGACAGAACAGTGACCGCTCAAGGTCACGCAGCAAAGCCTGGGCCCCCAGCGCTGGTTTGGTAGACCCCATCCCCACCCCGCCACCCCGTCACCCCACACCCAGAACCACACCCAGAACCAGAAACCAGCTAAAGGCCAGCTGGGGCGCCAGACGACTCGCCCTGCCCCGTCGACGCCCCAGACGGTGTTGCCGACCTCCGCCCCGCAGCGCTGGTGTGGGCGCGGCCGGACCTCACTCAGCCTGCACTGCCCCGCGCCGCTCGCCGCGTCCACACTGTCCTTGGGAGGACGCGCGGGGAAGCCGCGCACGATGCGGCAGCGCCCCCTGCCGGGCTCCGGGCGCTCCGCTCCCAGCCGGCTCGGCGAGTGCTCCGGGAAAGGGGTCCGGACCCCACACGCACTGGGTTCCAGGACAGGCTCTCGCTCGGGCTGGGCCGACTCTGGCCCGCCTAGGCCCCGGGCACGCTGCAGTGAAGGCGGTACCCTCACCACAGTCACAGAACGTGTCGGCTGCCCGCGCGTCCTCCCAAGGACAGTGGACGGGAGCTGGGGCTGGAGAGGGTAACGACCTGCCCAAGGTCACACAGCACCGCAGTGGCACAGCCAGGACTGGCACCCACACCTCCCGCGGAACCTTGCAGGGGCCCAAACCACCTGGGTTCTAGAGCTCCTTGAACTGGCCTCTTGGGCTTTAGGGAAGAGCTGGGGACGAGGGAATGGGGTGGGGCCACACCACATTAGCACGGACCCTTGGGTGACTTGGGCGGAAGACGGGGCGTCAGGGCCGCCTGCGCGCGCGTGACCTCCAAGGGTCCTTCTGGCGCTCCTCCGGCGCTGCGTGCGGCGCTGGGCTGCGGCTCACCCGACACACCGGCGGCAGCCGCGGCTGCCCCCTACTGGCGGAAGGAAGAGTCGCCGCTCCGGGGCCCTTGGCGGCCGCCGCTCTTCGCGCCTCCTTGGCCTGGCTGCCACCCTTCCACCCTCGGGGGAGACCCCGCGCTCTGTGCTCACTCGGGGAAGAGAGGCTCAATCACGGCCTGGACCAGCACTAGGGACCTAAACGCTCTTCTCAGTGTGCGTGAAGCCAGGTCCTCAAATCCGCCTTCAGTAAGAGCAGCACAGGGTCGTGGTTAAGAGCATGGACTGCAGAGCCCGACTGCATGAGTCCTGGCTCTGCCTCTCCTCAGCTGTGTTACCTTAGGCAAGTTACCAAAACTCTGTGTGTCTCAATTTTTGCTACCACAAAATGAAAATAGTACCTAATACATAGACATTGTATGTATGTGAACGCTTAATTTAACTGCATAGCAACCCTATGACGTTGATACAGTTATTCCCATTGAATGATGAGCCACAGACAGGTCAAGTAACAACCAAGTTTCCGCAGGAAATAAGTGGTGGAGTTAGAATAAAAATCCAAGTAATCTGGCTCCAGGATCCCTGCTTTTATACACCATGCTAGACCCGGATGGTAATAGAACCCACATTTTAGGGTTGTCCTGAGGGTTCTATGAGCTGACGGATGTAAAGTGTTTAGAATGGTGACTGGCACACAGTAGGCAGGAGGTAAGTGTTCACTGAGCACCTACTGTGTGGCAGCACTGTACTAGGCACCTGGGATACAGCAGTGAGCAGGCTGATCCAGCCACACCCTAGTGAAGCTGCCAGCCTAGAGAGGCAGACATTGAACAAGCCTGACAAACATTTAGGGTGCCCTGAGATTGAGGATCCCAGGTCAGAGGGTGGCCCAGACCCATACCCAGCCACTGACAGAGGGCCAACCTCAGGGAAGAATCCAGTACAGAAATCTCAGAGTAGGAGACAAATACCCCAAGCTGAGAAAGGCACTCAGAGGAGGTGCCTTCTGACTTGAGCCTTGAGAGCTAAGGTCTTTGCCAGGCAGAGGTGAGATGGGATAAGGCCCCTCCTCTTGCAGCCATTCACTCTGCCCCCACCTGGAAGTCCTCAAGTCCCCCCTTCTAAGGCAGGAATCGCTGGCGAGCTGGTTTGGATCCACAAGACAAATTATCTTGGTTTAAAGAACCACTCCCAAAGCCCACAGAGAATATTTTTCCAGGTGGGGGAGAGGTGTGATGAGGGGAGCATGAGGCCCCAGAGAGATTAACTCTAAATGGGCCACCTCAGGAGGCAGAGAACTCATCCCCATCAAGGTGGACAAGAGGCTGGAAAGCCACCTGCAGGTGTCTTGTGGGGGCCTCCCTGGGCAGCCAGAGCAGTGGAACAAGCTAACTTCACTGGTTCCTCTCTGTGACAAATCAGATTGCCCTTTCAAAATGTCCTTGTTGATGCCCCTCGGAGGGCTGCGTGGATCTCAGCCGCTCTTCCCCCGTGCCAGCCAGTTTAATCAGATGGCTTTCCTCCAGACTCCTGACTGTAGCCTGAGCTTGCCAGAGAAGGGAGATGTTAATCAGGTAAGGATGGATTCTAGGAAAACAAACAGGAGAACTTTGGTGGGCTGGACAAGCAGCAGACATTTGTTGAGCCCTTCTTTTGTGGCAGATCCCTTACTAGATGCTTTACATTTACGATTTTATTCTTAATCCCCAGAGCAGCTGTGTGAGGCAGAAGTAGTATTTATTATTCCCCATTGTCTATGTGATTGAACCAAGACTCCGGAAGCGGCAGAACTTACCCAAGGTCACAGGGCTGGCGAGCAGCAGAGGCAAGATTTGAAACCAAGTCTGGGTAACATTAGAATGGGAATCTTTTCCACCACATTCCAGTGTTTCCTTAGAGGAGCCTGATGCAGGGTAGAAGCGATGGGGGAGCAGAGGGTTGGGGAGAAAAAGATGGAGGAGGGGTTTTTGCCAGGCAGGCAAAGACAAAGAAATGCAGGTTGGAAGGAGACAATGTCTCAGCCAAGGTCTTCATTTTCTCCCTAGGCCACATAAAATCAGCTGGGCCGAGGCCTCCTCCCTCTGCAGGGTATTTTGAAAACCACCCACCTCTAAATTTCTTCTGTTCCTGTGCTTTAAAGTTCCTCTAAAAAGTTGGAATAAATTTGCCTGTCTTTTCTCCCAGACAAATGCAGAGGAGGAAAACAAAAAGAACACGTATTTTATGAACGCAAATTTGGGACAGTGACACCTCCAATCATTATTTTATGGCATGATGATATACAGTAATTAGGTGTCAAGAGTAATCTATGGCCACAAGAACAGAGTCATCTCTGCGAAAAAAAATGCTCTTTCCTCCCAGAAGGAAATCTGAGTGTGGAGAGGGAGGGGGCGGGAACTGAAGCCTGCAGAAGGCAACGCACAGCTGCCTACTGGGCATGAGGCGAGGAGGCCCAGCAGCTGGGATGGTGCTCCTGGGGGGCGGGAGGAAGGGCCCTTTCCTGGGGGTCAGGAGGAGGCCTAGATATGAGTCTCACCTCCTGGCTCTGACACCCCTTTCCTGTAACCTTGGACAGAACTCATTCCCTCTCTGGAAGACATTTCCTTTAATTGCCAGGACCTGGAGCCCTCCTGGAAGGTTTCCTGAGAAGTGGAGCTGGAGTTGGGCCCCAAGAGATGGGAGGATGTGGATGGGCATGCAGAAGCAAGAAAGGCCTTCTGGGCTAAGAAGCTGGCCCAGGAAAAGGTATGGAAGAGGGAAATCTGCCTTGAGGACCCACTTATGGGGAGAATTGTTTTTAAGACAGCATCATTCACGACAGCTGCCAATTTATTCTTTTATTTCTCTGAGATAAAATGCTGAGTTTTCACCTTTGTTTTCTTTCAAAAACACTACCTGAAAGGGCACTTTGTATCTGATGAACTGGGCTCAATTTATCTCTACCACTTCCTCAAGCAAGTAACTTAGCCTTTCAGCCTCCGAAAGAGGTATAATTTTATCTGAGGCTATTGTGAGAATTACATGAAATAATATAACCAATTCCTAGGCCAGGGCCTGGAATGATCCTCTCCC
Source organism: Homo sapiens (assembly GCF_000001405.40). Lineage (NCBI taxonomy): Eukaryota > Metazoa > Chordata > Mammalia > Primates > Hominidae > Homo > Homo sapiens. The sequence goes on from NC_000001.11 coordinate 50,336,781, forward strand.
AGACCTTCACATGGCTGGCTTCTCCGTGTCACCCTTCAAACCTTAGATGAGTCAAAGGTTTCTCAGGGAAGGCTTCTCTGACCACCCAGCCTGGAGGAGGTGTTCCAGTTCCTTCCATCTCAGCATCCCCTTCACCTCCAGGGTAATATTACAAACGAAAGTCAACCTGTTCATCCATTCAGCTGCCTGCTGTCTGTCTGCCCCACAAGAATATAAGCTCCATGAGGGCCCTCTGTCTTGTTTGCAACTAGAGTGCCCCCTAGCACATGATAGGTGTTCAGTTAAATTCTTATGAAGTAAATGAATAAATATGGAACACAGTAGGTTTCAATAAATGTTAGCTTTGTTCCTTACCCTGCCTCACCCTGTCATTTTTACCTTTCTCCTTTAGCCAGGATTCCACTGGAGTGAAGCAGAGAAGCCCAGACCGTATGGCCTGTCTTACAGTTCTCTAAGACTTGACATCTTCAGCCTGTACTGTCTCAGGTTAAACTGAGGCATCTAGAGAGGGTCAGTATCTTGCCCAAGGTTACACAGCTCATAAGTGACAAAGCTGGAACTGACACTGTAGCAGCAAGTCCAGCTACAGAGTTTATGCTTTCAAGCACTATACCATATGCCTCTCCTAACTAACACTATTAGGGGTCCAAAACAGCTCTAACTACTTCACATATTTTTAATTTTTATTTTATTTTATTTTATTTTATTTTTGAGATGGAGTCTCGCTCTCGTCCAGGCTGGAGTGCAGTGGTGCGATCTCAGCTCACTGCAAGCTCCGCCTCCTGGGTTCACGCCATTCTCCTGCCTCATCCTCCCCAGTAGCTGGGACTACAGGCGCCCGCCACCAAGCCTGGCTAATTTTTTTTGTATTTTTGGTAGAGATGGGGTTTCATCGTGTCAGCCAAGATGGTCTCGATCTGACCTCGTGATCTGCCCCCCTCGGCCTCCCAAAGTTCTGGGATTACAGGCATGAGCCACCGCGCCCGGCCATATTTTTTATTTTTAAGTGATCACTATTCTCCATTATCTTTTCTTTTATGGTTGGGAGAAACTGAGGCTCAGAAAGTTTATGAATCTTGCTCAAAGTCACCAACAAGTCAGTGGCAAACCTAGCCTCGAACGAAGGTGGACTTGACTCCAAACTTATCAGTATATTTTTAACAAACTTTATTTTTTAAGAAGTTTTAGTTCACAGCAAAATTGAGCAGAAGGTACAGAGAGTTCCTGTATACCCCCTGCCCCCACACACAGCCTGTTCCACTATCAACATCCTGCATTAGAGGGCTACATTTTTTACCATCAGTGAACCTACAATGACATGTCATTATCACCCAAAGTCCATAATTCACATTAGGGTTCACTCTTGGTGTTGTCTCTGGGTTTGGACAAATTTATAACACATATCCACTATTACAGTATCATACAGAATATTTCCACTGCTCTAGAAATCCTTTGTGCTCCACCTATTCATCCTTCATTCCCCACTTGGCATCTTTTTTAGTGAAGTATGTGTTCAGGTCTTTTGCCCATTTTTAAAATAGGGTTGTTCATTTTCTTACTGTTGCGTTTTAAGAGTTCTTTGTGTATTTTGGATAACAGTCCTTTATTTAATGTATCTTTTGCAAATATTTTCTCTCAGTTTGTGGTTTGTCTTATTCTCTTGAAGGTGTCTTTCACAGAGCAGAAGTTTTAAATTTTGATGAAGTCCAGCCTGTCAATTATTTCTTTCATGGATCTTGTCTTTGGTGTTTTATCTTAAACATCATTGCCATACCCAAGAGCATCTAGATGTTCTCCTATGCTATCTTCTAGGAGTTTTGTTATTTTTATTTTACATTTAAATTTATGATCCTTTCACAAAATTAACAAAAATGAGCTAATTTTTGAAAGGTTTAAGGTCTATATCTCGATCGGTTTTTTGCCATGTGAAGCTTCAGTTGTTCTAGCACCTTTTGTTGAAAAGACTGTCTTTTCTCCATCGTATTGCCTTTGCTCCTTTGTCAAAGTTCAGTTGACCATATTTATATGATTCTATTTTGGGGCTCTCTGTTCTGTTCCAATGATCTATTTGTCTATTTTGCCAATACCACACCATCTTGATTACTGTGGCTTTGTAGTAAGTTTCGAAGCCATGTAATGCCAATCCTTTAAATTTGTTCATCTCCTTCAATGTTGTGTTGGCTATCCTAGGTGATTTGCCTCTCCATATAAACTTTAGAATCAGTTTGTCGATATCTACAAAATAACTTGCTGGGATTTTCACTGGGATTGTATTGAATCTATAGATCAAGTTAGGAAGAACTGTCAAATAGATAGTATTGAGTCTGTCTATCCATGAACATGGAATATATCTCCATTTATTTAGTTCTTCTTTGAGTTATTTCATCAGAGCTTTATAGTTTTTCTCACACAGATGTTTTACATATTTTGTTAGATTTATACCTCAGTATATCATTTTTCACAGTGTTAATGTAAATGGTAATGTGCTTTTCATTTCAAATTCCATGTGTTAGTTGCTGGCATATGGAAAAATCATTAACTTTTATATATTAACCATGTATCCTGCAACCTTGCTAAAATTGCTTATTAGTTCCAGAAGTTTGCTTTGTTTTGGTTTTTTTTGTCAATTCTTTCAAATTTACTACACAGATGATCATGTCATCTGTGAACAAAGATAGTTTTATTTCTTCCTTCCCAATCTTAAACTTGTTATTCTCTTTTTTTTATTATTATACTTTAAGTTCTAGGGTACATGTGCACAGTGTGCAGGTTTGTTACATATGTATACATGTGCCATTTCTTGTCTTATCAGATCGACTAGAAATTCTAATGCAATGTTGAAAAGAAGTGAAGAGATGAGACATGCTTGCTTTATTCCTACCTTAGTAGGAAAGCTTCTAGTTTCTCATCAAGTATAATGTTAGCAGTAGTTTTTTGTTTGTTTGTAGGTTTTCTTTATCAAGTTGAGGAGAGTCCCCTCTATTCCTAGCTTGCCAAGAATTTTTTTTATCATTAGTGAATATTGGAGTATGTCAAATGCCTTTCGGCATCTCTTGATACAATTGTGTGATTTTTCTTCTTTAGCCTGTTAATATGAATCACAATAATTGATTTTCAAGTGTTGAACCAGCCTTTCATACCTGCCATAAATTCCACTTGGTCATGGTGTAAACAAGCGTCTCAATACTTTTTTAAAGTTGTCATTATGGACATTTTGAAAAATATACAAAAGTAGGGAGAATGGTGAACCTGCATGTACCCATCTCCCAACTTCATCAGGTACCAATCCCTGGCCAGTCTTGATTCCTCTACATTTCTACTCAGTCACCCCTTCCAAACACTTGGGTTGTTGGGTTTTTTAAGAATCAAATTCCAGCCGGGTGTGGTGGCTCATGCCTATAATCTCAGCACTTTGGGAGGCCGAGGTGGGTGGATCACCCGAGGTCAGGAGTTCGAGACCAGCCTGGCCAACATGGTGAAACCTTGTCTCTATTAAAATTACAAAAATTAGCCAGGCGTGGTGGCAGGCACCTGTAATCCCAGCTACTCGGGAGGCTGAGGCAGGAGAATCACTTGAACCCAGGAGGCGGAGGTTGTAGTGAGCCGACATTGCGCCATTGTACTCCAGCCTAGGTGACAAGAGCAAAACTCCATTTCAAAAAAAAAAAAAAAAAATCAAATACCATTCATTTTATTCCTAAATATTTCAACATGTATCTCTAAAAAGCAAGGATTTTTTTCTCTGTTTCAAACAAATACCCTAACCTAACCTACCTTAAAATTTTAACAATTTATTAATATCATTGAAAATTAAGTCAGCCAGGTGTGGTGGCACATGTCTGTAGTCCCAGCTACTTGGCAGAAGCTGGGATCCGAATAAAGGTCTACTTGGAGTCTAAAGCTCAGCACCACCCACCCTATCCCAGGCCATCCCTCTTCTAGAATCACAGACTGAGCCTCTCTCACACTTGTTGATGGCCACCCAGCCCCTTCCAGTGAGCATGTCCATTCAGTTTACTTCCACAGTCACTGAGCCAACAGTGCTGCTCCGAACTACCTAGGTGGATACCCAGGGCCCAGTACCAGGCCTTTCCCAGGTACTGGGGTTTGTGGACCAGAAGGAAAACCTCCACCTTCTGAACCTCAGAGGTAGACAGTGAGGCAGGGAGAAGAGGGTCTCCAGAGCACTAAGAGGAAATCAGCTATCTATCCGACACCTTCCCCTTCTCTCTCATTTCCCCCGTTCTCCTCCCCTCCTCTTGGCCTCCCCTTCCCATTCTCGCCAGTTTCGTCCCACTCCCCTCCTTCACCCCCATCTCCTCCTCCCTCCTCCTCCCTCCTCCTCCCACTCTCCTCCTTCTCTCTGCCTCTGTCCCACAGCCACCTGCACCCACCATCCCTACTGACAAACCCCCTGATCCCCTTCACCAAGTGTCTTCAACAAGTGAGGGGAGAAAACATAATTTAAACTTGAGCCTCAGGAGAAAAAGACAAAGGAGGAAAGCAGAAATGAGAGTGGCTCCTGCAACAAGGAGTTGTCACTGCCTTTAAGTCAGTGCCAGCAGGGAGACCACCCTGGATCCTGTCATTCTCTGGGCTTCTTATCACCAGCAACCTGTGCCCAGCCTTACTAAACACCAGGAGGGAGAACAAAGGAAGAAAACAGGAAGAAAAACAGGTGTGTGGGGGAGGGCTGAGATGTGTGAGTAATATCACTTAGTTTTAGCCACCTCTAATTTTCCATCTTGTCATCACATACAATTTCTTCTTCCCTCTCCTCCCCATTCCCAGCTGAACAATGATTTCCAAATTAGTGGCTCATTCTGGCTTTATCATACAATAAATCTGTGGGCAGCGCACTTCTCTCACGGAAGACATCAAGTAAGTGAGCGCACTAAAATGGGCCCCCATCTTCTGAAAGAAAGGGAGATTAGGGGCGCTTGTCATCTTTAGCTTCATGACCTTAAGCAAGTTATGTGGCCTCTGGGCATCAGTTTTCTCATCTCTAAAGTGGGGATATATATAGTGGCTCTCTCATAAATTGATGGAGATTGAAGGAGTTACTATGTGTAAAGCACCTACAGTGCCAAGTACATAGGATTAAGTGCTCCATAAATGCTACCTAAGTTATTACCGTGATGGACAGCATCCTCAGCTGCAGCTCTGTGGCTGAACTCTGCCTGTCTGAAGCACGGGCTGCTCCTGGGGGCACAGAAATGCTGTCTGAATACTCTTAGATTTCACTCAGGATACAGACTAAAGCTCAACTCTCATGCCTCTGGGGTTTGCATGTGCTTTTGACCCAGGACTCTTTTCCTCCTTCTCCTTCTTCCTCTTTGAAGAGCTGTGCATCTTCAAGACCTAGCTCAAATGTCACCTGTTCTAGGAAGCCTTCCTGACTTCCCAGACCATTAGTCCCTCTTTGCTCAGTGTACCTGTGTCACGTTGTGCAGAACCTTTACCTAAGGAAGCAGAAGGGCTCTCTGTGTCCAAGGTGTGGTTAGTATCTGTTCAGCCACTTCTGTGCAGCAGGTGGTGAATACATGTTCCCTGTGTGGAGCTCAAATATGGATCCCCTGGATGATGGAGATTCGTTGTTGATTCATTAGCCAGCATTCCACCACAAAGAGTTAGTGAGGACCTGCTGTGAACCAAGGACCAGGTCCTTGAAGTTTTAATCTATAGCTGAAGAATTACCTATGTCAAGAAACAGTCTGTACCACAACATTCTAAACCTCAACCATGTCAGATGTTTGGTAGAAAACAGGACACACAATATCCTCACACTCAGAGTCTTTGTTCTACTCAGGCCAGCTTGTAAGTCAGTAGACATACACAGAGAAAAAGAAAATACAGAAATACAGCAAACCTAAGATAGATTAAAACCAGCTGTCCCCAAAGGGGATAAAAACCAGCATTATGGATCAACCATTTGTTGCTGGAACTTTACATTCCCTGTGTCATCTCATCCCTGTGAGGCAGGGACTATTATCATTCCCTAGATAAGAGAGCTGAAGCTCAGAGAGGTAAAGTGACTTCCCTAGGCTCACAGTCAAATGTGGCAGATCTGAGACTGCAGCCCAGTTCTGTCTCACTGGGAAATGTGTGCTTTTTCTGCTTTATGAGGCTGCCCCAAACATGTGCCAGACGCCATCAAATAATCTCCCCTCCCTCCATTTGACTCGGCTGCCTCCTGAGCTTCATTCACATCCTGAGGTTATTTATGAGTTCACCATTAATCAGAGATCAGTTGTCCACATATATTCTGACTTTGCAGCATCCATGAGGGAAAAAAAAGACCTCCAATCTATTCAAAGCTCTGTGTCACCAAGGCCACCTCTAATATACAGGTGTTCGAGCGAATTACCATAGACATGTGTGTCAGGGACTCAGTCAGATGGCAGACAGGACTCATGTAAACAAGAGAAATAAAACTGTCTGCTGCACATTATAACAGCTCATAACTGGGTGCAGCCGTAAGGTTGACAACACATAATGGAAGATAGATGCTAAATTTCATCCTTATAAAACTCAGGTTAAAAAGGTGACATAAATATTTTAGCCCTTTATCTCAGGCTCTGCCATTAAAGAATCATTATGTTTTTTTGGCCTCTTTCCATTTTTAGAGAGCATGTCCAACCTGAAAGACCTCCCTCTGTAACACCCACACCAGCTCAAATCTCTAAGGCCCTCCCTCATGTCCTAAAAATAACAGCATGTAAAGCCCACTCCACCCGGCTCGCCTTTTCTTTCTCCCCTGCCACCCACCTGAATTGGGAAAGATTTCATGCAGCTGCAAAGGTGTTTGCTGTTTAGACGGCAACTCAGGTAGAATCCATTAGTAGCTAAACATCTTTCTGTTGGAAGCCTCCTGCTCCAAAGGACAGCAGAATTACACAGGGACTGCGGAACTGCACGGTGCCAGTGCCTGCCTTTTATTTTGTTATTTACATAGAGCAAATGCGTAGTGTACACGGCCCTTGCAAACAAGCACCAATCTGCAGGGAGCAACCATCCTGTGCAATATTGCTGGCTTCCCTGCCATGCCAGCTGGAGGGGAAGGCCATCCCTGGGACAGGGAATAATGAGTCCATGAGACTCCAACCTCCTTCTCCTGGTCCCTGGGCAGGCTCGTGATTTCTGTTTGGTGACATTCAGAGCTTTCCAGCTGCCCTCGCAGCACTGCCTGCCTAGAGGCCTCTCTTGAGTTCTCCACCTCTGCAGCTGTTGCCCTCTCTCATGTGGCCCTGGCCAAGACCAAGGAAAAGATCTGGAACAATTGAGTCTCTCACACTCCAGTGCTAATTCTAGCTCTGCCAGTTAATGGCTGTGTGACCTTGGGGAGGTGACTTAACCCCTCTGAACTTCAGCTTCTTAAGGTGTAAAGTGTCTGACCTCCAGATTGTTCCAGTTCTCATTAAGGGGCTTCCACAGAACATGTGTCCCATTCTCTTCAAGAACCTGGGACAAGTATTTGCTGGAAGTCTGGCCTGAAATACATGTCAGAGTCCCTGCTCAGAATTTCCTCTCCTCTGAAGACAGATCACTGAGTTCAGTTCCTGCCTGGACTCCTTTCCCAGATTCCAGGGACAGGTTTTGTTCCCTTTTCTTCAATTCAAGGCTTAATATTGGTGTCCTTAGGTCAGAGTTTTCTTTACGCATCTTTCTCCCAGAAAACCAGTGCATATCCTTGCAAACTAGAGTCCCGGTGAGCCATCCTAACATCAACACTAGCAACAACCTCAGCTAACAGAACTGGGTACTTACTAGGGCTAGGCCCTGTTCTGAGCCATGTGAACTGTATTATCTCATTTAATCCCTAGCATATCCCTGTGAATAAGCATCTGCCTTTTACAGATGAGGAAGCTGAGGCACAGAGAAAGAAGCAGCTAACTCTGAGAGAATCATGGAAGACACCCTGGAGGAGGTGACTTAGGAGCTCACTTGCTGGATGGAGAAGGGGGAGGGTCTTCCACATGCCCCTCTTCCCCATTGTGTTTGTAGCCTAGTGACTGAAATTCTTTAAAGTTCAGATCCCAAGTTGTTCAGATCCCAGCCAGGCTCTGGCAGAAGCAAAGTTCTTAATTTTTGTGCCCATTTACTTATCAAACTAATGCAAGCTGAAAACACAATCTTTCCCAGTGCAGTTTAAGTACAAATTACAAAAGTTTCCTTTGACAAGGAACAGACTCTATTCTGGCAAGCATACTCAAGGAGGAGGGACCTGGGGAGTAGGAGTTGTGCAGGTGCCCAGCGACAAGAGAGAGAAGGTGAGAGAGGGACAGGGTGAGCTGGGCCCAGCTCACTCCAAAAGAGCAAGGGAAAGTGGAGGTGGGCATGACCTGGACCTGCCCACAGGGTGGGGTCCCTGGCCCCATGGTCAGAGTAATGACAACCTCAACTCTAGTCAGGGTTTCTGTATTTGTTGCAGGGTGAGGAGAGGCAGAGACCTTGGCCACATGGTATGATCATATCAGACAGCCTTATGCCCCACCTGCTGAGAGCTGAGGGGGCTCTGAATGGGGCAGGCCTGGACCTGGACATTTGGGATGTCATGCACCAACTGCACAGAGAGCTGGTGCAGATAATGGGGAAAGGATGTGAAAGAGGTTCTATCAGGAAAAGTTCGGACCTGCCTTCTCACCTGTCCCAAACTTCTGTGACCTCTGACTCATTATAACTTCTAAAGAGTGCCTGAAGGTATTAACATTTCTCCAGTTGCCAAGTTAGATAAATTCTGAAATCTCAATGGCTTAACACAATGAAAGTGTATTTCGTGCTCACATTCCTGGCTGGACAACCTTCCAAGTGCTCCTTCAGGAACCCAGGCTCCTTCTATATTGTGGCTCTGCCCCCAGTAGGTCTTTGGTGTGCCCTCCATCCAGCCAGGAAATGGAGAAAGAGAAAGAGAGGGCATGGAACCTCTGATTCCATCGGAAGTTTCAGGGGCCAGGCCTGGCAGTGGCTAATGTCACATCTGCCCACCTTCCTTTGCCAGAAGTCAGCCACACAAACACATCTAACTGTAAGGGAGGCTGCAGAAACAGTCTGTGTGCCCAGGAAGAAAGGGAAATGGGTTTGACAAACATCAAGCCAGCGTTTGTCACTTCAGATCACTTCTTGGCACTTTGAATCACAGAACCCTAGAATCATAGACCCAGAGAATATAAGGACTATGAGAGAATCTTAAAAATAGGGAATTGTTGAACTTTCATGTCTCATAATCATAGAATCCCAAAATAATACAATCCTAGTCTTCAAAGAGTTGGTTGTGGATGTGTCCATCTCCTCCATCAGATTGTAAGTTACTTGAGGGAAGGGAGGGTATGTTCTGAAACTTCTCAGTACCCACCACACTAAGTATCATAATAATAGTGGCAGTCATGGTTGTAGAAAGTACATGGTGTCTACTATGTACCAGGCTCTCTTCCAAGCCCTTTGAATATTTTAATTCATTTAATCCTCACAACAACCCTATGAGGTAGGACTATGATTATCCCAATTAACAAATAAGAAAACTGAGGCAGAGAGGTTAAGGGATGAACCAGGGTTCAGGCAGCTAGTAAGCATTCAATAAATTATCTGTTGAATGTGTAACTGTTGAACTAATGTGAATTGCTGTCCAAATCTAGCTGTTTTCCCTTCACTTTATCGCTCCAGTTGCAAAAGACGAGGACAGTAAGTCATCAGGGCATAAGTGAAATATAAAAGAAATCCACAGATGGAGAACAGTTCACTTTGTCATTTGCTCCCCAAACTTCTGAAATGAATTCCCTATCACAATGGGAAAGCTGTCAGAGCCTTATTAATTTCTGGGAGGGGGTCCGAAGTCGGTTTGAAGCAGAGCTATGGTGGGGCTTATTCAGCCGCTCGTGGAGGAGGCCTCGCTGTCTCCATCTAATTAACAATAAGCCAGATGCCCCTACACAATCCACTTCTACATCTGTAACATGCTGACAGTCTAAAAATGCCAGCCTCCTCCTTGTGTGTCAGCTAAATGTCACTGGCGACATTTGATGCAATTCAGAGATGAAAGTAAATCCAATATTATCACTGACTAAATAACCACAGGCCCAATCAAGGGCCCCCAGGACCCAGAGCAGGATAGGGAGAGGAGGCAGCACAGCCGGAAGGCGGGGGAGCCAGCTCCTTCCCCAGTGCGCCCAACCCCCAGATGCCCACAAACAGGAAACCAACTTGCTGGCCCAGTTCTGCTTGGGAAGATCAGGGTTTGCAACCCCCAAAGCCACCTGGTTAGGGACAGAGGGCTATTTCTCCTCTCTGAGCCTCAGTTTCTTCACCTGTGAAAGGAACAGAGGCAAAACATGACTTCTAGGGAAGAACTGCTGCTGCTGTGATGTGCAGTAATTTATTCATTCAGTCAACCCCTATTTACTGAGCAGCTATTATGTGGCAGGTACAGTTCTAGGTGCTGGGGATATATCACTCCTTTAATCATCTTCTCCACTAGACTGGAGGCATCATGAAGGTAAGTACCAGCTGTTCTCTCATGTTCACCTCTGTATCCTAGCTTGGCCCACATACGTGCTCAGTATATATCTGTGGATCTGCGGAATGAATGCATGGATAAATGAATGAGTCTACTTGCCTGTCTTCCCACTAGCCAGGGAGCTTCTTGGGAGGCTGTGTAATCCTCAAGGGCAAGGATTAGGTGCTTCTTATCTCCTGGTGCCCAGTTCCCAGGAGAGCAATGACAATCATGATGCAAATCGTACCAATTCCCACCATGTGGGACACAGGTGAGGGGAGCAGGTGAGATACTTCCCTGTGTTCCCAGCATTTTAAAAAATTTAAAACACAGCCGGGCGCGGTGGCTTATGCCTGTAATCCCAGCACTTTTGGAGGCCGAGGCAGGTGGATCATGAGGTCAGGAGATCGACACCATCCTGGCTAACACGGTGAAACCCCGTCTCTACTAAAAATACAACAAAAATTAGCCAGGCGTGGTGGCAGGCACCTGTAGTCCCAGCTACTCGGGAGGCTGAGGCAGGAGAATGGTGTGAACCCGGGAGGCGGAGCTTGCAGTGAGCCGAGATAGCACCACTGCACTCCAGCCTGGGTGACAGAGCAGGACTCCGTCTCAAAAAAAAAAAAAAATTTAACACATAGACCAGGGGATGAAAATAACATCATCAACGAGAGGCACATGGACATTGCTTGCCTCTAGATGTTACCCTGAGAAGGACACCTTAATATCACTGTTATTCAGTGCTCCAGCCAGCAGTGAGGCTGACAAAGAGCTGAGAGAAAAGTTTTCCCACGTCTTGTATCATAGTTCCATCTCACCAAGTAGATCACGAGTTCCTCAGGGGCTCCCCGTTGCAGACAGAAGAAAACCGCATGTCCTTAATGTGGCATTCAGGCTCCTTTGTGACTTCCAGCCTCCTCTGACAATCACATCTTTCATCTCCCACCTATTCCTCTACCACACCCGGCTACTCACCATCCCTCAAAACTGCATCATAATAATTGCTGCCTTCATTAAGCAACTGGTCTCTGGTACTGGGTACATCCCTGGGTCATTTCATTTAATCCTCACAACGGCCCTTCAACTTAGGTGCCAGTATTTCCTCTAACAGATGGCGAATTAGAGGCTCAGAGAGGCTGAGTGACTTGCTTAAGATCACACAGCTAGACCCAGACTTTAAATCAGATCTCTTTGATCCCAAAGCCAGGCACTTTCCAACATATTGCACTGTTCCACCCTCCAAGTGCTGCTTGGATAAACATTTCCAAAGCACCCACTCGGTGCTGGGCTCTGTGTTAGGCACTGGGGGTACAGATGCAATCAAACCCCACTCCCAGTCTCCAGGACTGATGATCTGGCCAGAGAGAGGTCAGGGCTGAGGCACGGTAAGGGTCCCTTGTCAGGGGTTAATGTCAGTGTCAGGGTTCCAGAGTCTGGACCTCTGACCCTCGGAGCTGATCTCAGCAAAAAGGTTGGGCCTGGACCAAGTGATGGTGCAGGTGGAGTTGAGAAATCCTTCCCCAGCCCCCTGATCCTGTGAGTCAAGCTTGGCACGGGTTTCAGGTTGCTGCTGGGTTAAAGTGCTGGCCTTTTCCATTAGTCAAGTCTCTGCTGCCCTCTAGTGGTACATACAGAGATGACAGGGAAGAGGCTTCCCCAAGAAAGAAAGAAATCTCTGATAACTCCACTCTGCTCAGCCTAGGGTCTGCGAGCTGGTTCCCAAGTTTGTGAATAGACAGACCTGGGTTTGAGCTTGCAGTTGTGCAGGGGTCAGTCTGCTTCACCAGGAAAGTTGCTCAACTTCTCCCAGATCATACAGTGAGCACAAAAATAACCCCAGACAGAGCCCTGCTAAGACTGAGCCATGACTGTGGTCATAGCCTGAGCCTGACCTTGGCCATAGACTGAGTTATAACTTTGTCTAGAGACTAACCCCACCTTCAGAATCCACCAAACATATGCTGTTCCCCTTGCCTGCCTCCCGGGAGCCCTTTGGCAGCATTCTGCAGCCCTGGACCTCCTGAGGGCCTCTGGGCCTCTCCCCTGCTCTTTTCTCTCAGCTGACCCCACTGCTCCTTCCCCTGTTGCCTGGGTGACCCCTGGTGGATCATCTGAACCAGCACTTACAACACCCTGCACCCCTGCCCTCTTAGTCCGCGGCCCAGTGACCCACACCCCCACTCCACCATCTATCTGCTCAGCTCCTGTGCTGGCTGAAGTAGGCTTCCCTGCTATGCAGAAGGCTCCAGCACACCTGGTCCACCACAGCAGGGCCCCCACACTGCCCTACTCTTGGCTCACTCTCTAGAAGCACTTCCTCCCATTCCCCTTTCAAGATGCCTGCACCACTCTTCTCCAGCTCATTCAGCCCCACCTGCTATGCTCACGTCTCACTACAATGGGAAGATTGAGGCATCAGGCTGGAAGCACCCCACACTCCCCTCACACACTATAAACCACTCCTGCCGCCTCCCCTTCCATCTTAGAAGATAAGCATCCCTCCTCTGTCCAAGTCCAGCCTGTCCCCAGTGCCTGGACCCTCAGGGAGCACACATCAGCCCCTCTCAACTGGGCATCATTAACATCTCCCCTCAATCTATAAACATCCTCAAGTCTCTTCTGCCCTAAAGAGAAAGAGAGAGCGAGAGCGAGCGAGCAAGCGAGAGAGAGAGAGCCTCCCTCAACCCTTTTCCCTTGAGCTTTACCAGTGTCCTCCTTATCCCGTTTCACAGTCAAGCTTCCTCCAGAAGTATCTACCCTCATAGATGAACTTCCTCATTTGCGCACTTTCTCTGAATCACCTGCAGCCTGACTTCATCTGCATTCACCCAGCACTGTTCTCAAGGTCCCCATGCATCCTCATGTTGCAGTGGACTCTTTTCCATCATTCCTTATCCTGGTTGCATTTGCAACCACCTTTCCTGATTTTCCTCCTGCTCCTCAGTCTTTTTGCAGGGCCCTCTTCCCCTCCCCACGTGAGAGTAACATGCCGGTGGTCCCCAGGCTTCCATCCTAGGCCATTCTCCTTCCACCTAATTTCCTTGGGAGATCTTGAATATTTGCATATTAGTTGGGACTCTTGCTGGTAGGAACAGAAGCCCCCTGAAGTCAGCTGAAACCAAAAGGGATTATAAGACTATAGGAAATCTCAAAATCCCAAGGACAGATGGTCTGTGATATGGAAAGGAGGCAGGGAAGTGCTGGGTAGAGAGGGGCAGGGTCCCTGGTGAGGGCTCCACCCTCAGGCCTGTGCCCACAGACCTAAGTGAGGACAAGCACTCCTGTTTTTGCGCCCAAATGTTGCATTTTCCAAGACCAGTCTGGCCCATCACACCCCCCATCCTGTGCCCATTAAAAACCTGGGACCACAGCAGGCACACCCACAAGCAGCTGGACATCAAGAGGAGCAGAAGAGCACACCAACAGACACCAGCAGACACTACAGGCCGTTGAGGCAGGATGATGCAGAATTCGATCGGGAGCCCAACTCCACCAGAAGACCACCTTCCCACTCCATCCCCCTTCTGACTCCCCATCCACCTCGCTGAGAGCTACCTCCACCACACAATAAAACCTTGTGCTCATCTTCCAAGCCCACGTGTAATCTGATTTCTCCAGTACACTAGGGCAAGATTCCGGGACACAGAAAGCCCTCTGTCCTTGCGATAAGGCTAACTGAGGGTCTAACTGAGCTGATTAACACAAGCCACCTGCAGACGGCAAAACCGAAAGAGTGCACTGTAACACACACCCACTGGGGCTTCGGGAGCTATAAACACTCAACCCTAGACACTGCTATGGAGTCGGAGCCCCATGACCTGCCCTCTGCATGCTCCCTAGAGGGGTTTGAGCAGTGGTGCACCAAAGAAGCAAGCCACACCCCTGCTTCACACCCTGTGAGGGGGTAAGAGAACTCCCGTTTCATCACGATCAGACCAGACCAGGGCCTGGAGCACTGTAGGGAGCCCAGGAATTTTTTTTTTTTTCTTTTTTGAGATGGAGTCTCACTCTGTTGCCCAGGCTGGAGTGCAGTGGTGTGATCTCGGCTCACTGCAAGCTCCGCCTCCTGAGTTCACGCCATTCTCCTGCCTCAGCCACCCAAGTAGCTAGGACTACAGGCGCCTGCCACCATGCCTGGCTAATTTTTTGTATTTTTAGTAGAGATGGGGTTTCACTGTGTTAGCCAGGATGGTCTCGATCTCCTGACCTCGTGATCCACCCGCTTCGGCCTCCCAAAGTGCTGGGATTACAGGAGTGAGCCACCGCGCCTGGCCAAGCATTTCTTTCTCTTGGTGTCTCTCCTTTTCTCTTAATGTCTGCCTCATTTTTCTCTATTTCCAAAACCACTGCACAAAATATTCCTGAAACAAATAGCTCCCAAATTTACATCTCATAAGAATCTCTGAGTCCCAATTTCAAATTTCCAGGAAAGGATGCTGATCGACCCAGTGTCAAGCACCCCCGCCAATCCCCAGCAAACAACTATGGCCAGAGCTGAGGTTTCTGAAGAATATGACATTTCTACAGCAACCATGAGAACAGGTCAGAGTGAGTCCCAATTCCAAAAAAGCAGAGGGACTGGGCAGAGAGAGCACTGGTATCACAGGTAGTGAGCCAGAAAGCTGGGATAAAAAACAGATCTGTGCCGGGCGCAGTGGCCCAAGCCTATAATTCCAGCAATTTGTGAGGCCAAAGTGGGAGGATCACTTGAGCCTAGGGATTCGAGACCTACCTGGACTCGAATGGACCTGCCACATTTGGCGAAAGCCCACTTCTACAAAAAATACAAAAATCAGCTGGGTGTGGTGGCAAGCACCTGCAGTCCCAGTTACTTGGGAGGCTGAGGTAGGAGAATCGCTTGAGTCTGGAAGGTTGAGGCTGCAGTGAGCCAAGATCATGCTACTGCACTCCAGCCTGGGCACCAGAGTAACACCTAGTCAAAAAAAGGTTGGGGGGAATCTATCTAAATTTGATGCCAGTGCTCTTTTCACCATGATATTTCTCAGAGATTATATCTGTTTATTTGTTAATTTATTCATTCATCAGTTATTTATTGGGCATCAACTGAGGACAAGGTTCTGAAGTTTCAGCTGTAAACAATACAAACAAGGCCTCTTTCCTCACAAACATCAGAGACTATTAGGAGCAGATATTGATAGATCATTATAACATCACATCTAGTTTCTGCATGAACACTTCCAGTAATGGGGAACTTATTACTGCATGCAGAGGTCAAATCCATTATTAGTCATCTCCAGTTAGGACAATAGATGTCCACAGTTTGGAGAAGAGCTTCAAGATAAGCAGATCCAGCCCCCTACATTCTTCAGGCCAATAAATGAATCAGTCTTCCAGGATGTGAACTGCTACACATGGCCTTAAAAACTTGGCAGGAAGGTGCATCCGTTATCAATGGCTTAAATGCAAGAAGAGTTTTGTTCTCTCTTTATCTCCAAGAAGTCCAGAAGTAGTCAGTGAATGATTAGTAAAACCCTCCACATGAGGGGGACCCAGGCTTCTGTCCCATTTCTCGGCTATGCTTAGTCTCCATTTCCAAGGATACCTCAGGATTTAAGGCAGCTACTGGTAGAAACATCTATACCCACATTCCATATAAAAGGGAAAAGAATAAAGAGAAGAAGGGCGCATCCAATCTCTTAAGGACATCTCACATAAGTTTTGAGCATCACTTCCACTTACATCTCATTGACCAGAATATAATAACCTGGCTGCATCTAGCTGCAAGGAAGACTGGAGAGTGCAGTCTGTATTCTAGTCAACCATATGTTCAACAATGAATTGAGAGTGTTATGGGTATTGGGAACCAGCAGTCTTTACCATAGAAGTCTTTCCTTTTAGCTCCCTCTCAGTCATCTCCACTATTGGTATAGATTCTGTTAGGAGCTACTTAGAGCAAAGTTGTGCCCTTTTTCACCCAACAGCAGTGCTGTGCCGGAGCTGACTCATACCAGATTACAAGAGCCAATCATTAAATTGGAAGTATCTTGCAAACCAGTTGGTAAACATCACTATTATTAAAAATTAAATTATATAGCCTGTAATCCCAGCACTTTGGGAGGCCGAGGCAGGTGGATCACCAGGTCAGGAGATCAAGACCATCCTGGCTAACACGGTGAAACCCCATCTCTACTAAAAATATAAAAAATTAGCCTGGCATGGTAGCGGACGCCTGTAGTCCCAGCTACTCAGGAGGCTGAGGCAGCAGAATGGCGTGAACCCTGGAGGCAGAGCTTGCAGTGAGCCGAGATCGCGCCACTGCAATCCAGCCTGGACAACAGAGCGAGACTCTGTCTCAAAAAAAAAAAAAAGTAATGACAATAATTTTTTTGAAAAACAGCAGATTGAGATGCAATTCCATCTGTGAAGTTATGGTTGAATCACAACCATCAGTTAGCCACAGATATGAGTTTGGCAAAAAACAGTGAAAGAATCCTGAGAAAATCAACTCGCTATTTAGAATTTACATTAAAGAATATTGTATATTTTATTATTATAAATTTTGTGTTATTCATATGGGTAAAATTTATAATGAAGTTATGTATGTATAAATATACATACATTTTTGGAGAGTTGGTTACTAAAGTTTTGCTAGCACACTACTGGCCAGCAACCCTTTCAACACCCCGAAGCAGGAAGCTCTATCCCTCCTTCTATAAAAGGCCTGATTTACTCATGTCTGCCTACACCCAGCCCCCTGGTACCAGGGACCTCGCCTCCGTTTTCCCTGCTCCCTTTCCTTTCAGAATTTGGATCTCTGATTTGTTGTATTTTTGCTTATATATTTTCCATCTGTATCTTCTTGCTTTACCTTTCTAGATACTCCCTCAGCTTTATCTCATAACCCCTCGTAATTGAGCTTTTTATTTATGCTCTCAAACGTTTAACATCCAAGAGTTTTTTTCTTCCCTGATCATTCCTTGTCGTGGCATCTTGTTCTTCTTTAATGGATGCAACAGCTTCTCTTGGATCTGAAAATATTAATGATAGCACGTTGATTGTTTTTTAAGTTCTTATCTCCCTGGTTAGTCTCTGCTTCTGCCAAGTAACTTGTATCTGTTTCTTCTGTTTTGTCTCTATCTTTCCTCCTGGAAGCTCTCCTTGGCTCTCTCATTATCTTTGGCTGTCTATGTGAGGCATTATTTAAAAAAACAAACAACAACAACAAAAAGTTTGGTTGAAAATCTGGCTAATTCCTGGCCTGGGGCGGGAAAAGTAGTAGATGAGCCCAGAACATCTCTCTGTGACAGAAAGTACTCAAACAATTCGGGACATATACCAAAATGACATAAGAGCCAGCTTGAAGGGGCCTCCGATGGGGAAACATAGAGCAAATTGAGCACACACACACACACACACACACACACACACACACATATATGTAGTAACAACTATGGCTTTTGGTTGAAATACAATCCAACAGTCTGCACTGATATAACTTAATAAATAAATATATGGGACAAGGATGTTTTGAGAGCCCCCAGCTAAATTGAGGTCCAGTGCCAGAGCAGCTAGCCACCCAGCCTTAATGGGAGACAAAGGGGGCCTGGATGTGGGTGTTTACGGTGTGTCTTTCACAGGATGCTTCTTTTAGCTGGCAGGTGGCCTAATGCCTACTTGCCTAAATTGTGACCGAGAGTCCCTCACACAGGAAACTTGTTTAGACTGCCAGATGTATAGACCGCTGTGATTCCTGTCTGACCCATGTCTGTTTGTGCCTGCCTGACCATCGCTCTGGCTCTGGGAACCTGACCTTCTGTTCTCCCTGGTAAGCTGGGGAAAACCCAGCCTGGGGTAGTCCCTGGTTCTTTGGATGCAAGGTGCAAATTCAATGCACCACCACAAAAGGAAACAAGTTCAAAGATTCTTTACTTGCAGATCCTGGGCAGGGAGGGAGCCATGAGTTGGGAGAGTTGTCCTCCATCCCCAGATCATGTGAGGCAGGAAGGAAGAGTCTCTCGTTACGGGCTAATGCAGATGGTGACTGTCAGTTGAAGCCAATGCTCATTTACTATTCTAAAAATCCTAGGGCCCCTAAGCACTATGCTAAATCTACTCTGCCCGTGCTCTAGAAATGGAACAACAAAGCCAGGATGACAGCACATCTGTTTACAGCATGGTTTACTGAATATTTTAACCCCACTGTTGAGACCTACTGCTTAGAAGAAAAGATTCATTTCAAAATATTACTGCCCAGTGACAATGCACCTGTTCCCCCAAGATCTCTGATGGAGATGTACAAGGAGATGAATGCTGTGTTCATGCCTGCTAACACCAGGTCCATTCTGCAGCCCATGGAGCAAGGAGTAATTTTGACTTTCAAGTCTTATTATCTAAGAAATACCTTTTGTAAGGCTATAGCTGCTATAGACAGTGATTCCTCTGATGGATTTCAGCAAAGTAAATAGAAAACCTTCTGGAAGGGATTCACCATCCTGGATGCCATTAAGAACATTCATAATTCATGGGAGGAGGTCAAAATATCAACATTAACAGGAGTTTGGAAGAAGTTGATTCCAACCCTCATGGATGACTTTTAGTGGCTCAAGACTTCAGTGGAGGAAGTAACTACAGATGTGGTAGAAACAGCAAGAGAACTAGAAGTAGAAGTGGAGCCTGAAGATGTGACTGAATTGCTGTAGTCTCATGATCAGGTTTGAACAAATGAAGAGTTGCTTCTTACAGATAAGCAAAGAAAGTGGTTTATTGAGATGAGTCTACTCTGGTGAAGATGCTGTAAACATTGTTGAAATGACAAGAAAGAATTTATTATTTTACTTAAACTTAGTTTATAAAGCAGTGGCAGAGTTTGAGAGGACTGATTCCAATTTTGAAAAAAGTTTAACTGTGGTTAAAATGCCATGAAACAGCATCACACACTACAGAAAAATATTTTGTGAAAGGAAGAGTCAATTGATGTGGCAAACTTAATTTTCATCTTATTTTAAGAAATGGCCACAACCACCCCAATCTTCAGCAACCACCACCCTGATCAGTCAGCAGCCATCAACACTGAGGCAAGATCCTCCACCAGCAAAAAGATTACCACTCACTGAAGGCTCTGATGATTATTAGTGTTTTTTAGCAATAAAGTATTTTTTATTTAAGGTATGTACATTGTTTTTCAGACATGGTGCTATTGCACACTTAGTAGGCTGCAGTATCATGTAACCATAACTTTATATGTACTAGGAAACCAAAAAATTTGTGTGACTTTCTTTGTTAAGATATTTACTTTATTGTTGTGGTCTGGAACTAAATATGCACTGTTTCCCAGGTATGTCTGTATATATATTTTTTCTTTTCTCACTCTTTCTGAATTTTTTCCTGATAAGTTCGTAGTGGCATCAAGTAACCTCTGTGGTGAGTGACAGTCTCCATTTATGCTTCCCGCTTCTTGGTCCGGCTGATTATCTTGGGTCGTTTTGGTTCAGTGCATAATGACGAGGAACACCTGGGGAAGAGGTACCTTATTGTAGACTCATATGCCGCTGTCTCCTGTTGCAGGGTGTGCCCATCACTCCTCTGAAGGATCAGGGTCCGTATCTACCAGTACAATCATTTTTTAAATTACTGCTAGGGTTGGCTCCCAAACCCCAGGAGTGTGGCACTAGAGCTTTGCATGTTTACAGGCAGCAGCACTGAGCAAAACTCACACAGCTTCCGTGGGAGATTTGCATTTATCTAAGAGCTTCTTTACATCCACTGGTGTCTTTAGTGGGGCAGGGATCAGGTGTTCATGGCATTTGTATTTGCCCACTACAGTGCCAGTGATTAGACCCATGATACTCCCTGGAGTTGGGGACAAAAGGAGACAGCAGCAAGGAATGCGGCAACAGAAGAGGCACATGCCCCCGTGGCACCTACTCTTGCAAGGCTTCATGAGGACTCAGGTGAAGTCACCCCCCTCTGAGGTTAGGGTTAGGCAATTTGATCCTTTCACCCCAGCTACACGTCACCAACACAGAAAGCCCAGCATTGTATCACCCTCTCTGACTTTCCTACGGGGGAATCCTTGCTCTGCAGGAGCCTGGGAGCCTGTATCTCTATCACCAGCGAGATGGAGGTAGAGCTCCACCATCTTGACCAGCTCGCTCTTGCTCAACGCCAGGATTTCACAACCTATAGCCAGCACAGTCCTGATTACTAACAAGATCCTAGGTCATTGGAACTGTGTACCTGGCACAAAGGGCTACATAACCTAAAGTAGTAGCCCATTGTCTAAGGACCCAATCCTAGGAAGGACAGCTGACGCCATGCAGGAAAACACATCCTTCTTATACTGGGACCTGCCTGCAGAGAGCTGCAGGGGAGTCCTATGGTTCCAAGTGCTATCCACAGCCACCACAATTTCGAGAGAATCCCCAAGGCAATACCTGACAACAGCACGACACAGCAGTGCAAAGCAGCTATAGTTACTAGCAAGCAGTGGTTCCTTCCCAAAGGGACTGGGCCATCTGGAAGAGGCCGTTAGTACGCCATTCACAGCTAATAGACATTGTGAGGTGTATACCCTGCACTAACACATCCCATCCTTCATGGCCAGTTGATTTGAGAGCCCCCAGCTAAATTGGGATTCCAGTGCCAGAGCGGCTAGCAATGCTGTTCTAACAGCAAATGAATGGAACTGGATGAGGGCGTTTATAGTGTGCCTTTCACAGAATAATCGTTTTACCTGTAGGATGGCCTAATGCCCATCACCAGGGGTGCCTCACATGGGAAACTTGTTTATGCTGGCAGATGTCCTGGCAGCTGTTGCCTGACCTGTCTAGTTTATATCTGCCTGACTGTCGCTCTGGCACCAGGAATTCAACCTTGTGTTCTCCCTGGCATACTGGGGAAAACCCAGCCTAGGACAGCCCTTGGTTCTTCAGATACAAGGCACAAATTCAATACACCACCACAATAGGAAACAAGTTCAAAGCATCTTTACTTGCAGATCCTGGACAAGGAGGGAACCATGAGTTGGGAGGGCAGCAGCTCTTCAGCCCCAAATCATAGGAGGCAGGAAGGAAAAGTCAGGCAGAAATAGAAAAGCGTGAGGCAATTGAGAGGAAAGCGTGGGGCAATTAGTGGCATATATTAGGGAATAGGGTGAGTCACTAAGTTTACAAGCAAATGTCTGAACGTCCATTTAAAGGAAGTGGCAGGAAAGTAAGGACCCCACTCTGCTGGCAGGGAGAAATGTCTCAAAGAACTTCTCTCTGAACACTGGCTTGGGCCATTTGGGTGTGGTGTAGACCTGGAAGCTGTCAAGGGTGACTGAGCCCTGTTCCTATTATGGGAAATTTAAACTTATATTCAAAATGAATGCAGAGGGCCGGGCACAGTGGCTCACGCCTGTAATCCCAGCACTTTGGGAGGCCGAGGCAGGCAGATCACTTGAGGTCAGGAATTCAAGACCAGCCTGGCCAACATGGTGAAACCCTGACTCTACTAAAATACAAAAATTGGGGCGGGGCCAAGATGGCCGACTGCAAGAGCCAAAACAGCATGCAAATCCTGCACCAGCAACTGAAGTGTCCAGGTTCTGTCATCAGGTCTGACTAGGCGATTGGCATGACCCATGGAGAGGAGGGAAGAGCAGGGTGGTGCGTCAGCCCACCCGAGAGCCACACGGGGCAGGGGAGCCCCTACCCGCAGCCAAGGGAGGCAGTGAGTGAGCATGGTACCCAGCCAGGGAAACAATGCTTTTTACTTGGAATTGTGAGGCCACACCACCGGGCCTTGGGTCCCAACCACGGAGCCACGCAGATTGTCAATAGCCACTCGGCTGGAATCTGTCTAAGACCACCCAGTTCCCAGTGGGAGGGGCGGCCATTAACAGTGCTGCTGCCTGCTGCTGAAGCCATCTGAGCTCCTTGGGGGAGGGGCGGCAGCCACCACTGCGGCTGTCTGAGACAACCGAGCTCCCTGACTGAGAGGCGGCCCTCACCACTGCTACTGCCTGCTGTCTAAGCCGTCTGAGCTCCCTGAGGGAGGGGCAGCAGCCATCACTGCTGCTGGCTGCTGCTAGCTACCTAAGACACTAAGTTACCAGGGGGAAGAGCGGCAGCCATCACTATAGTTCCAGGCCGCGCTTTTCCCCTTCTGGAGCCGGGGAGACTGGACAGCTTGGTCCAAGAGGTATTCCCCACAGCACAGCACACTGGCTGTGGCAGGCCGTGACCACATTGCCTCTTTAGGCCAGACCCTGGCTCATCCCTCCTCACTGGGCAGGGCCTCCCGGCAGGAACTCCAACGACTCCAACCAAGGGCTCAGGGACAGAACTCTGATCTCTCTGGGCCTGAGCCCCTAGTGGGAGGGTTGGCCATGGTCTCCAAGGACCAGCAGTCTTAGTCTTTCCTCCTGCAAGCTCTGAGGAATCCAGGCAACTTAGACAAGTGCGTTTCCCCCCAGCACAGCACATCCCCTCCACCAAGGGACAGCCAAAGTGCTTTGTTAAATGGGTCCTGGTTCCTGTACCCTGCAACTGAGTGAGACTACCCAACAGGGGTCACCAGACACCCTATACAGGAATGTTCCTACTGGCATCACGTTGGTGCCCCTCGAGGTCAGAGATCCCAGAGGAAGGAGCAGGCACCCATTTTTGCTGTTCTCCATCCTCCTTGGGTGACACCTCCAGGTGCAGAAGTGACCCAGATGAATACAGCCTGAAATGAACCCCCAGCAAATTGCAGCAGCCCTACAGTAGAGACAGTAGAGGGACTTGACTATTGAAAGAAAAACAAACAGAAAGCAACAACAACAGCATCAACAAAAAAAAGTCCCCATGAAAACCTCATCCAAGCGTCAGCAGCCTCAAAGATCAAAATCAAGCAAACTCATGAAGATGAGAAAGAATCAGTGAAAAAATGCTGAAAACCCAAAAGGTCAGAGTGCCTCTTCTCCTCCAACTCATTGCAACACCTCTCTCAAGCAAGGGCACAGAACTGAATGGAGGGTGAGATGGATGAATTGACAGAAGTAGGCTTCCAAAGGTGCTTAATAACAATTTAACTGAAGTAAAGGAGCATGTTCTAACCCAATGCAAAGAAGCTAAGAACCATGATAAAAGGTTACAGGAGGCTGGGCATGGTGGCTCACGCCTGTAATCCCAGCACTTTGGGAGGCTGAGGTAGGCAGATCACGAGGTCAGGAGATCAACACCATCCTGGCTAACATGGTGAAACCCCGTCTCTACTAGAAAAAATACAAAATACTAGCCAGACGTGGTGGTGGGCACCTGTAGTCCCAGCTACTCAGGAGGCTGAGGCAGGAGAATGGTGTGAACCCAGGAGGCGAAGCTTGCAGTGAGCTGAGATGGTGCCACTGCACTCCAGTGTGGGCAACAGAGCGAGATTCCATCTCAAAAAAAAAAAAAAAAGGTTACAGGAGCTGCTAACTAGAATAACCAGTTTAAAGAGGACAATAAATGACCTGATGGAGCTGAAAAACACAGCATGAGAACTTCATGAAGCATACACAAGTATCAATAGCCAAATCAATCAAGCAGAAGAAAGATAATCAGAGCTTGAAGACCAGCTTGCTGAAATAAGGCAGGCAGACAAGGTTAGAGAAAAAAGAATGAAAAACAAACAAAAAAAATGAACAAAACCTCAAAGAACTATGGGACTGTGTAAAAAGACTGAACCTACGACTGACTGAAGTACCTAAAAGAGACGGGGACAATGGAACCAAGTTGGAAAATACACTTCAGAATATCATCCAGGAGAACTTCCCCAACCTAGCAAGACAGGCCAACATTCAAATTCAGGAAAAACAGAGAACCCCAGTAAGATACTCCATGAGAAGATCAACCCTAAGACACATAATCATCAGATTCTCCAAGGTCAAAATGAAGGGAAAAATGTTAAGGGCAGCCAGAGAGAAAAGCCAGCTCACCTACAAAGGGAAGCCCATTAGACTACCAGTGAATCTCTCAGCAGAAACCCTACAAGCCAGAAAAGAGTGGGGTGGGGGTGGGGGGCAATATACAACATTCTTAAAGAAAAGAATTTTCAACCCAGAATTTCATATCTGACCAAATTAAGCTTCATAAGTGAAGGAGAAATAAAATCCTTTTCAGACAAGCAAATACTGAGGGAATTCATCACCACCAGGCCTGCCTTGCAAGAGATCCTGAAGGAAGTACTAAACATGGAAAGGAAAAACCAGTACTAGCCACTGCAAAACACACTGAAATACAAAGACCAATGACACTCTGAAGAATCTTCATCAACTAGTGTGCAAAGTCACCAGCTAGCATCATGATGACAGGATCAAATTCACACATAACAATATTAACCTTAAATGTAAATAGGCTAAATGCCCCAATTAAAAGACACAGACTGGCAAATTAGATAAAGAGTCAAAACCCATCAGTGTGCTGTATTCAAGAGACTCATCTCACGTGCAAAGACACACAGAGGCTCAAAATAAAAGGATGGAGGCAAATTTACCAAGAAAATGGAAAGCAGAAAAAAGCAGGTGTTGCAATCCTAGTTTCTAACAAAACAGACTTTAAACCAACAAAAATCAAAAAAGACAAAAGAAAGGCATTACATAATGGTAAAGGGATCAATTCAACAAGAAGAGCTAACTATCCTAAATACATATGTACCCAATATAGGAGCACCTAGATTCATAAAACAAGTCATTAGAGACCTACAAAGAGACTTAGACTCCCATACAATAATAGTGGGAGACTTTAACACCCCACTGTCGATGTTAAACAGATCAATGAGATAGAAAACTAACAAAGATATTTGGAACTTGAACTCAGCTCTGGATCAAGTGGACCTGATAGATATCTACAGAACTCTCCACTCCAAAACAACAGAATATACATTCTTCTCAGTGCCACATGACACTTATTCTAAAATCAATCACAGAATTGGAAGTAAAACACTCCTCAGCAAATGCAAAAGCATTGAAATCATAACAAACAATCTCTCAGACCACAGTGCAATCAAAGTAGAACTCAAGATTAAGAAACTCACTCAAAACCTCACAACTACATGGAAACTGAACAACCTGCTCCTGAGTGACTCCTGGAGAAATAATGAAATTAAGGCAGACATCAAGAAGTTCTTTGAAACCAATGAGAACAAAGAGACAATGTACCAGAATCTCTGGGACGCAGCTAAAGCGGTGTTAAGAGGGAAATTTATAGCACTAAATAACCACATCGGAAAGCTAGAAAGATCTCAGATCGACACTGTAACATCACAACTGAAAGAACAAGAGAAGCAAGAGCAAACAAATCCAAAACCTAGCAGAAGACAAGAAATAACTAAGATCAGACTGGAGCTGAAGGAGACAGAGACATGAAAAATCCTTCAAAAAAATCAATGAATCCAGGAGTTGGTTTTTTGAAAAAAAAAATAGTAAAATAGGTAGACTAATGAAGAAAAGAGAGAGGAATCAAATAGACACAATAAAAAATGATAAAGGGGATATCACCACTGACGCCACAGAAATATAAACTACCATCAGAGAATACTATAAACACCTCTATGCAGAGGTGTCCTACTATAAACTAGAAAATCTAGAAGAAATTGATAAATTCCTGGACACATACACCCTCCCAAGACTAAACCAGGAAGAAGTCAAATCCTTGAATAGACCAATAACAGGTTCTGAAGTTGAGGCAGTAACAAATGGCTTACCAGCCAAAAAAAGCCCAGGACCAGATGGTTTCACAGCCAAATTCTATCAGAGGTACAAAGAGGAGTTCATACCATTTCTTCTGAAACTATTCCAAACAATTGAAAAGGAGGGACTCCTCCCTAACTCATTTGATGAAGCCAGCATCATCCTGATACCAAAACCTGGTAGAGACACAACAAAAAAAGAAGACTTCAGGCCAATATCCCTGATGAACATTGATAAGAAAATCCTCAATAAAAACTGGAAAACTGAATCCAGCAGCACATCAAAAAGCTTATCCACAATGATCAAGTCAGCTTCATCCCTGGGATGCAACTCTGGTTCAACATATGCAAATCAATAAATGCAATCCATTATATAAACAGAACCAATGACAAAAACCACATGATTATCTCAATAGATGCAGAAAAGGCCTTTGATAAAATTCAACATCCCTTCATGTTAAAAACTCTCAATAAACTAGGTATTGATGGAACATGTCTCAAAGTAATAAGAGCTATTTTTGACAAACCCACAACAAATATCATACTGAATGGGCAAAAGCTGGAAGCATTCCCTTTGAAAACCAGCACAAGATAAGGATGCTGTCTCTCACAAGTCCTATTCAACATAGTATTGCAAGTTCTGTCCAGGGCAATCAGGCAAGAGAAAGAAATAAAGGGTATTCAAATAGGAAGAGAGGAAGTCAAATTGTCCCTGTTTGCAGATGACATGATTCTATATCTAGAAAACCCCATAGTCTCAGCTCAAAAGCTCCTTAAGCTGATAAGCAACTTCAGCAAATTCTCAGGATACGAAATCAAGGTGCAAAAATCACAAGCATTCCTATACACCAACAATAGACAAGCAGAGAGCCAAATCATGAATGAACTCCCATTCACAATTGCTACAAAGAGAATAAAATGCCACCTAGGAATACAGCTAACAAGGGATGTGAAGGACCTCTTCAAGGAGAACTACAAACCACTACTCAAGGAAATAATAGAGGACACAAACAAATGAAAAAACATTTCATTCTCATGGATAGGAAGAATCAATGTCATGGAAATAAACATACTGCCCAAAGTAATTTACAGATTCAATGCTATTCCCATCAAACTACCACTGACACTCTTCACAGAATTAGAAAAAACTACTTTAAAATTCATATGGAACCAAAAAAGGGCCCATATAGCCAAGACAATCCTAAGCAAAAAGAACAAAACTGGAGGCATCACACTACCTGACTTCAAACTATACTATAAGGCTACAGTAACCAAAACAACACGGTACTGGTACCAAAACAGACACATAGACCAATGAAACAGAATAGAGACCTCAGAAATAAGACCACACATCTACAACTACCTGATCTTCGACAAACCTGACAAAAATCAGCAATTGAAAAGGATTACCTATTTAATAAATGGTGCTGAGAAAACTGGCTAGCCATATGCAGAAAACAAATTGGATCCCTTCCTTACACCTTATACAAAAATTAACTCAAGATGGATTAAAGACTTAAATGTAAAACTCAAAACTGTAAAAACTCTAGAAGAAAATCTAGATAATACTATTCAGTACATAAGCATGGGCAAAGACTTTATGATGAAATCACCAAAAACAATTGCAACAAAAGCTAAAATTAACAAATGGGATCTAATTAAACTAAACAGCTTCTGCACAGCAAAAGAAACTATCATCAGAGTGCACAGGCAACCTACAAAATGGGAGAAAATTTTTGCAATCTACCCATCTGACAAAGGTCTAATATCCAGAATTTACAATGAACTTAAACAAATTTAGAAGAAAAAAGAAAAGCAATCCCTTCAAAAAGTGGGCAAAGGACATGAAAAGACACTTCTCAAAAGAAGACATTTATGCAGCCAACAAACGTATTTTAAAAAGCTCAACATCACTGATCATTAGAGAAATTCAAATCAAAACCACAATGAAATATCATCCCCTGCTAGTCAGAATGGTAATTATTAAAAAGTCAAGAAACAACATATGCCGGCAAGTCTGTGGAGAAATAGGAACACTTTTACACTGTTGGTGGGAATGTAAATTAGTTCAACCATTGTGGAAGACAGTGTGGTGATTCCTCAAGGATCTAGAACCAGAAATACCATTTGACCCAGCAACCCCATTACTGGACATATACCCAAAGGAATATATATCATTCTGTTATAAAGATACATGCACACGTATGTTTATTGCAGCACTATTCACAATAGCAAAGACATGGAACCAAATGCCCATCAATGATAGACTGGATAAGGCACATATACACCATGGAATACTATGCAGCCAAAAAGGGATGAGATCATGTCCTTTGCAGGGACATGGATGAAGCTAGACGCCATCATCCTCAGCAAACTAATACAGGAGCAGAAAACCAAACACCACGTGTTCTCACTCGTGAGTGAGAGTTGAACAATGAGAACACAGAGACACAGGGAAGGACACAACACACACTGGGGCCTCTCAGTGAGGCGAGGGGAGGGAGAGCATCAGGACAAATAGCTAATGCATGTGGGGCTTAATACCTAGGTGATGGGTTGGTAGGTGCAGCAAATCACCATGTCACACGTTTACCTATGTAACAAACCTGCACGTTCTGCACATGTATTCTAGAACTTAAAATAAAATTTTAAAAAGTAAATAAATAAATAAGTGAATAAATGAAAACCTCACATTCTAAAAAGCAAATAAACCAACAAAAATTACAGGCACATGCCTGTAATTCCAGCTACTTGGGAGGCTGAGGCAGGAGAATTGCTTGAACCCAGCAGGTGGAGGTTGCAGTGAGCCAAGATCACATCACTGCACTCCAGCCTGGGTGAGAGAGACTCTGTCTCAAAAAAAAAAAAAAAAATGCAGGGCAACATAATTTCTAAGAATTCACTACACAAGGGAAAGCTCTTCCTGATAGTTGAAAACAAACTGATAAATATAGAAAAAATAGTGGAATTAGAAAATTACCACCAGATAGCATCATTATAACAATTGATTCAAGCAAGAATCATCAGTGATGCTAAAACTAGTAAGAGATAGGTGCTTATTAATTACAAAATGAAAAACAATAACTACACTGGAGAAACCTGGCAGGCACCTCCTTAAACATGTGATTAAAGTTAACATCACCAGCAACAGTAATAGATACCATGTGCCTCCTGATATGATGCACTGAGAAAAACACAGCATCACTTCTGTGATGTTCCTGCCAACAGTGCACGACCTAAATGTAGCTTGTAGGAAACATTAAACAAATTCAAACTGAGAGACATCCTGCAAAATACGTGTCCTATACTCTTGAAAAAAATGTTAATGTCATGAAGGCAAAGAAAAACTAAGGAACTGCTACAGATTAAAAGAGGCTAAAGAGACATGACAACTAAATGCAGTACAAAATCTGGAATTTTTCTGCTCTAAAGGACATTATAGGCACAGTTGGCAAAACCTAAATAAGTTCGTTACATAAAATAATAGCCCTGAATCAAAGTCCCTTCCTTCCTTCCTTCTTTCCCTTCCCTTCCCTTCTCCTTCCTTCCTTCCTCCCTCCCTCCCTCCTTCCCTTCCCTTCGCTTCCCTTCCCTCCATCTTTCTTTCTCTCTCTTTCCTTCTCCCTTTCTTTCTTTCTTTCTTTCTTTCTTTCTTTCTTTCTTTCTTTCTTTCTTTCTTTCTTTCTTTCTTTCTTTTCTCTTTCTTTAACAGAGTCTGACTCTGTCATCCAGGCTGAAGTGCAAGTAGCATGATCTTGCCTCACAGCAACCTCTGCCTCCTGGAATCAAGCAATCCTCCCACCTCAGCCTCCCAAGTAGCTGGGACTCCAGGTGCCCATCTCCACACCTGGCTAATTTTTTTTTTTTTTTTGTAGGGAAGGGGTTTCACCATGTTGCCCAGGCTGGTCTTGAACTCTCAGCTCAAACCATCCTCCTATCTTGACCTCCCAAAGTACTGGGATTACAGGCATAAGCCACAGCGCCCAGCCTAAAACCCATTTCAAAGTTTAAAAGCATGTAAAGGGATAAAGGGGCATCCTTATATTTTTTAAAATGCACATATTAGGGGAATCTGGTGTGAAAAGTAGATAGGAATTCTTATAATTTTTTCCCTGTCTGAAATTTAGGGAGAAAAATTTTTTAAAAGAGAAAATTTAAAAGCTGGTCAGGTACTGTGTGCACATGGGTCTGGTTTGTTGACAGTAGGCAGCCCTGGAGTCGGGGTGTTCTGACTGGGCCATTTCATTGGGTGTCTCCCCACACCAACTCAGTACCATCTTCCAGTCTCCTGCCTGGAAGGAGGTGCTAGGAGCCCAGTGAGG
This sequence comes from Homo sapiens, assembly GCF_000001405.40. Classification (NCBI taxonomy): domain Eukaryota; kingdom Metazoa; phylum Chordata; class Mammalia; order Primates; family Hominidae; genus Homo; species Homo sapiens. The sequence goes on from NC_000001.11 coordinate 50,367,246, forward strand.
CAGCAAAAGGGTGCTGTGCTGAACATGCAGGACATAAACATTCACCTAATCTGTGTTCAGTACAGGGTTCCCACTCCCAAGCACCTCCCCTCCCAGGCCACAGACCCTCTGTTTTATCCTCTCTAAATAAACCTCTAGTCTTCTGGATTATAGGGGGAGAGTGTCATCTGACTGCAGGAAGAAGAATCAAGGGCTCTAACTACTTTCTGTTTTTAGCCTAACCTACTTCTAGAAGTGCCTGAGTATTCTGGGGGTTCCCAGTGTAAACCCAGTTGCTCATGTAGACCTGTTAGGGTGTAAGATGCAGCTTTCTGAGGTCTGTTGCGTCAAATGTTGCTCTCTGCTCCAGCTTCCAAAATGCTGCTTGAAATTTGCTAGGAGGGTAAGACTTAAGTATTCTCACTACACCAAAAAAGAAAAAAAAAAAAAAGGTAACTGTATGAGGTGACAGATACGTTAATTAGCTTGGTTGTGGAATCATTTCACAATGTATGCCTATATCAAAACATCATGTTGTACACCTTAAATATATACAATTTTTGTCAATTATACCTTAATACAGCTAGAAGAAGATTTTAATGCTACTGTCTTCGCTGTTGTTCTCTTTGTCCTTGTGGGTTTGAATATTTTAATAAAATCTCTTTGCTGTCATTTTAGTAGAGTTTCAGGAAAAACCACATGTCCAACCTGTCATCATCAACTGGAAGTCCTTTGCTATGTTTTCTAATCTTCTACAATGACATGCATTGCTTGTGCAATTTTAAAATATATTTAAGCACATAAAAGAACTAAATGTTGTGAAACCATATAAAACAGTTTAGAAATAGGATGTTCATCAGGCTTCTGACGGGAGGATAATTAAGCTCTGAAAAGCGGCTGGGTGATGTGAAAGAACTTGAAGATTGGGCTCACATCCCAAGGCTGTCTTTCATTGGCATTGTGACATGAAGGTGAATACAATCCTCTGTGAACGCATTTTAACCCTCGGTTACCATATGAGGGGAGGCGTCTGTAGGGTCAACTGCACAAGGCTTGAGAGTTCAAATCTCGCTGAATTCTAGAGGCAAAAAAGGAGGTCCTGCACCCAGGCCAAAGCCCTCCTTTGGCGCTGAGGCTCAGGAAAGAGCACGTCAGTACCCGCTGTTAACTCGGAACTGAGGCTGCAGCCAGGCCTCTGTCCCCCGCACCAAGAACAAGGTAAAAATAAATCCAGAGAGTGAGTCAAGTCAGGGGCTCGGCGCCAAACCCACAGCCCCGGCCCCATGGATGCATAGGGCGGTCCACACCTGTATCTACCAGCGCTCACCTCCAGCGTTAAACCCAGGTGCGCGGCGGCCGGGATAAAGTGGGGCACGCGAGGAACTGACTTTCTATATTATACCACACGGGGGCAGCAGAGGACAGGCAGAGAAAACCGAGAGGGTCTTGGGAATGGGGTGGGAGAAGGTAGGAGACTGGGAGAGAATATAAAGGGACAGAAAATACACTAAAAAGAGATGGCAGAAAAAAGAAGGGCGCGGGAGACAGACTCGGGGCGATAAAGGGAGGAAGCACTACTAACGTAGTGATCCCGCACATATGGACAGTTACTATGTGCAAGGTGCTGGGCACTCACTGTGTCATGGAGTACAGGAGCTCGTTTCATAGTTGAAGAAACAGGATGGGAGGTGGCGTGGCCAGCCTTCAGTCACAGCATGGGCACCAGCACCTACTGGCAGGGTTATTTAACTTCTCTGTGCCTTGCTTTTCTTATCTACCTCACAAGGTTGTGAGGATGAAATGAGATAACACGTGTAAAGCTCCAGAACAGCACCTGGCACATGGCTAACATTCAACAAACGCCAACGATGATGATGATGATGGTGGTGGTGGTGATGATGATGATGATGGTGGTATAATGATGATAGTGATGATGGTGATGGTGATGATGGTGATGATGATGATGGTAATGGTGGGGGTGATGGTGGTGGTGGTGATGGTGGTGGTGATGATGATGATGGTAGTGATAATGATGATGATGGCGATGATGGTGATGGTATAATGATGTTGGTGATGATGATGGTGATGATGATGATGGTGGTGGTGATGATGATGGTGATGGTGGTGGTGATGATGATGGTGACAATGAAGATGGTGGTGATGATGATGATGATGGTGGTGATAATGATGACAGTTATGATGGTGATGGTGATGGTGATAATGGTGGTGGCAATGATGATGGTGATTATGATGATGATGATGATGGTGATGATGATGATGGTGATGACGATGGTGATAATGATATTGTTGAATCCCTACATGGAGGAGGACCCTTGGTTTCCAGGTTTGTGGAGTGCTGTTGAAAAAATCTTCCCCCATATTTCAGATGGGGAACTGAAGCCCAGTAAGATTGCATGACAGCACAGGGACCTACAGCCATGCAATACGAGGGCCAGGATTCAAAATCAGGTCATTTGACCCTTTCCACCTCACCCTCTACCTCAGCACGGGACAGAAAGTGCCTGTTCATCCCAATTGCTAAAATATGTGCCACATTTACCTGCTGAGTGCAGCCTGATGCCAGGCCCAGGGCTGACACCATGTTTTGCTCTCAAGCAGCTTACTCTTGGGAATGAAAGGTCAGAGCGAAGAGCAGGTGGGAGGTCTGTTGGACGTGCTCACCATCCCTGTTGTGGACAAAGAGAAGAGGATCCGGTCCTGCTCATGTCTCACACGCCCAATTTCTGGCCTGTCAGGGACAAATATCTGGATAGTGAGCATGCCAAACAGATGTCACCAGGAGAGGGAGCATGTTGCTATGGGAGGAAGGCTGCACCTGGTCTCCAAAGCCTGACCTCCAATTGCAGCTGGGTGCCCCTAGGTCAAGTACTTAAACATCCTCCTCTGCCGCAACCTCTTCATCTGCAAAACGAGAATAATAATGATCCTCTCTTCCTCAACAAGGCAGGGTGAGAAGATGAAATGATGCGATTAATGCAAAGGGTCAGCCTGGCACACAGGATTCTCCAAGCAGGGAGTTCTGTTATCTGGAAAAGGAGAATGATAATATTCTCACTGGGTTATTTCATAGAGTGACAGAAATTATTGGTGTTCCAGTGCCTGAGACACAGCAGATATTCAATCAGCCCTGCTGCGTTAAATCAGATCTGCTGCCATGCTTCGTAGCATTGGAGTCCCTCACAGGGATGCAACGTCCCAATACAGGTTGGCCTTTTCAGCTAACAACAATAACTTGGGAACAATGCCTTTGCACCTCTCAACCATGTACCTCAAGAAGAATGTGTGCATGGGACGGTGAACACTTCAAAGGAGAGTGAGCTTCGGGACCTCCTTCAAGGAGCCCTGGGTCAGCCCCTGCTGTGTCCACTGGTGACCGTATGGTCCTCTCTCCTGATGCATCCCCTCCTTCCTTGGCCCTCACTCACTCTTAGCGGGTGACCCCAGACTGATTCACAGAGCCAACTGTGGCCCCAAAACAACCCCTAGCAGCTTTCTTTTCAACAGTGGCCAGCAACCTCCACAATCCTTGCCCCTGTCCTTCTGCCCCTCTGAAAAGCAGAGTCCTTTCTCTGGCCCAAAGCTACTCTCTGCCCATGCACCTCTTCATCCACCAGTTCCTCTCTCCTGGCAGCTTCCCACCAGAAGTGAAGCTGGCTCCACACGCCAGCAGATCGCCGCCACAGTCTTCGCTTTCTCCCCTCCTGCCCAAATGCTCTTCTCCTCTCCCCTGGCTTCCACCTCCACCCTACTCCTCTGAAACAAAGGCCCCTTGTCGCCTCTTGAAAGTTTCTCACCCTCTCTGAAGAGGCTTAGTGAATTTTCCAAACAAGCAATGAAAGGAAACCTCTCTATTTACCAAAGCAGCCCTTTAGCAGCCTGAAGCAGTGTCAACCCTCCCTCCTTAAAAACCTCCCATGCTCCTTTGATGCCAGCGCTCCAGGTTTTCCTCCTATCTCTCTGCCCACATCTCCTTTGACTCCTCAGTAGACTCCTCTTTTTCCCTGCTGACAATTCCTGAAATCTCTGTCTTCAGCCCAAATCTTTCACCTGAGCACAGACTCACATGCCCAGCTGCCTCCTCTCCATCTCCACTTGCATGTCCCACAGAAACCTTTGACCCAAAGTGTCAACAAATGAGCTGACTTCCTTCTCCCCTCCTCAGACTTTGCCATCTCCATGCCCTCAGCCAACCAAGCCCAAAAACTCTGCCAGACCCAGTGCTTCTCTTGTTCTCATCCCCGTGGCCAATCAACCTTCATGTCCTGTCAACTCTGCTCTCCAAAACTCCCTTGGGTCCACCTTCCTCCAGTCAGCCCAGGGAACACTCAAGACTACATTCCTCCAGTCCACCTGCTCTGGGAAGTCTTCCATGCTTGCCCCAGGCACCATTAGGGGCTCCCTCCTTGGAGCCCCCTGCCCTCTGTACACCACAGGTTGTGCACTGGCCACTCAGGGACCACAGCCAGCCTTCAGATGTGTAGTGTTTTCCTTCACTATGAAGGCCATCACACAGCTTTTAAAAACAAGTCACTACCAACTGTTGCCTAGAGCTGCCTAACATAACTGGCTGACTTAAAGTAACAGAAATTTATCCTCTCACAGTTCTAGAGACTAGGAGCCTGAAATCAAGGTGTCGGTTAGGTATGCTCCTGCCAACGGCTCTAGGGGAAAATGCTTTCTTGCTTCTTCTAGCTTCTGGTAGATGCCAGCAATACTTGGCATTCCTCAGCGGTGGCAGCATCACTCCAATCTCTGTCTCTGTCTTCACATGGTCATCTTCCCTCTGTGTCTCTGTTCTTGCTTTCTCTTCTTAGATAAAGACACATTGGATTAAGACCCACCCTAATCCCTATGACTCCATCTCACATCTGCAAAAAAACTATTTTCAAATAAAGTCATATTCTGAGGTTCCAGGGAGACATAAATTTCGGAGGGAAAGTATTCAACTCAATACTTTTTTTCTTTAAGTGATGATGTGTCTCCCTATGTTGCCCAGGCTGGTCTCAAACTCTTGGCCTCAAGACATCCTCCCATTTCAGCTTTCCAAAGTGCTGGGGTTACAGGCATGATCCGTGACACCCACCCTCAACTCAATACATTTAAAATAAGGAAATTTCAAATAAATATCCAGATTACCACTTCTCTTTTAAAAAATTGGATTTGGCCCCATATCCTGCATCTCAGATTCTTGCGTAGCTGCTGACGCTGAGAAGCAGCCTCCTCAGTCCCATTTGCACCGGGCATATATTCTCCACTTATCACAGTCCCTTCCACAAGGGGTCCAACAACTGCAATGGCAGGAAAGTGTTAAAGAAATATCCCAAACTTATCCCCCTGGAAACTAGTAGTAACTTTCTGTCAGAGTAAGAGAAAGTGGCAAAGGGGAGAGTTGTGTGCAACTTTTCAAGAGGAACCTGCTGTCACCCCAAGCACTTCTCTCATTTACATTATCTGCCTTGCCCCTGTAGGAATTTTCATCTGGAGCATGGCTGTACAACAATGGCATGTTCATGAGACTCTCACTCACTGGATGACCCTGTCCATACCCCACCCATATCCCCTTGTCCTTATTTACCATTCCTCAGCCTGTCTACTCACCTTCCAACTTCGATCATCTATGTTACTTTACCTAAGAGCTTCCTCTGGCTACCAGAGCCCCTTCTTCCTACCCATGGGCCATCCCTTAACCACGGATTGACAAAAGTTGGTGTATCAATACATCAGCTCCCTCACCCCTCAGGTGGAATCATTCTAAGGCATGAGTTCTACACTGGAGTGCTCACAGTCCCCCCGCAGGGTGAAGCTCCAGCTACTCACAGTGGCAACTTGTTTCTGTACCATACCCTCTGTTGGCTCACTACCTGCCCTGTCTCTTTTCCCTCTCTCCTGGAGAAGTGCTTCCTGGGATCCCCTGTCGAATAAGCTATTTGCACATGAGCCCTTCTCTCAAGGTAGGCTTCTGGAGAAAACCAAATTGGAGGACAGAAACATGGCCTGTTTGCCATATTCATCTCCCCATCCACAGAACACAGCACAATTAATAAGCACATCATAAAGAGTACTCATTATTCATCCATTTATTCAGCTATGTGTGTCTAGCTCCACTTCATGCCAGGCCTGGGCTAGAGGCTGGGATATATTGATGAGAGGGTGCACTAATTTTCCTGCCCTCCTGAAGCTTCTAATCCAGGAAAAACCAACTTTCAAGAAAACAGAGACTGCTTTCCCCTAGAAGCCAACAACATGGTCCTGAATAAACTTAGAAATGTTAAAAAAAAAAAAAAAAGTGGAGAAATAGCACAAGCTAGCAATGAGTAGGAACTAAAATGAGTGAGTTGATTCTTCATTCACCTGGCAAATATCCACTGAGTACCTATTCAAGCATTCCTGGCACATGCATGAATACTTAAACAGTCAAACAGAATACCAGAAAGTCAAAGTCAGTGTTCCCATAGAGAACACAGAGAATGTGGCAGCACCAAAGAGGAACTAACTCAGCCTGGCAGGCCAAGAGGACTCCCTGGAGGAGGCGTCACCTGAGCTGGGTCTTGAAAGACAAAAAGGTATTTGCAAGACATAGAAAGGAAAAAGCATTCTAGGTAAAGGAAACTGCAATAGAAAGATAGAAAGGTGTGACAAATAGATAATCTAAGATCACATCTCAAGGAGCTAGAGAAGCAAGAACAAACCCAAACCCAGCAGAAAAAAGGAAATAACCAAGATCAGAGCAGAACTAAATAAAATTGAAACAAACCAAATACAAAGATAAATGAAACAAAAAGCTGGTTCTTTGAAAAGATAAATAAAATGTGTAGGCTATTAGCAAGATTAACCAAGAAAAGAAGAAGATCCAAATAAGCACAATTAGAAATGAAATGGGAAACATTTACAACCGATACCGCAGAAATACAAAAGATCATTCAAGGCTACTATGAACACCTTTAGAAAACCTAGAGGAGATGGATAAATTCCTGGAAATATACAACCCTCCTAGATTAAACTAAGAAGAAATTGAAACTCTGAACAGATTAATAACAAGCAGTGAGATTGAAATGGCAATTTAAAAGCTGCCAAAAATAAAGTCCAGGACCAGATGGGTTCACAGCTGAATTCTATCAGACATTCAAAGAAGAATTGGTACTAAACCCATTGACACTATTTCAAAAGATAGAGAGGGAATCCTCCATAAATCATTCTATGAAGCCAGTATCACTCTAATACTAAAACTAGGAAAGCACATAACGAAAACTACTGACCAATATCCCCAGTGAATATAGGTGCAAAACTCCTCAACAAAATACTAAATAACTGAATCCAACAGCATATCAAAAAGATAATCCACCATGATCAAATGGGTTTTATACCAGGGATGCAGGGATGGTTTAACATAAATGAGTCAATAAATGTGATACACCACATAAGCAGAATTTAAAACAAAAATCACATGATCCTCTCAATAGATGCGGAAAAACCAGTTGACAAATTCCAGCATTGCTCTATGATTAAAACCCTCAGCAAAATCAGCATAGAAGGGATGTAACTTAAGTCAATAAAAGCCATCTATGACAAACTTACAGCCAACATTATACTGAATGGGGAAAAGTTGAAAGCATTCCCCTTGAGAACTGGAACAAGACAAGGACTCCCACTTTCACCACTTCTATTCAGCATAGTACTGGAAGTCCTAGCCACAGCAATCAGACAAGAAAAAGAAATAAAGGATATCCAAATTGGTAAAGAGGAAGTCAAACTGTCACCGTTTGCTGATGACATGATCATATACCTAGAAACCCCTAAAGACTCATCCAAAAAGCTCCTAGAACTGGTGAATGAATTCAGCAAAGTTGCAGGATAAAAAATTAATATACACAAATCAGTAGCCCTGCTATACACCAACAGTGACCAAGCTGAGAATCAAATCAAGAACTCAACCCCTGTTACAATAGCTGCAAAAATAAAAATAAAATACTTAGGAATATACTTAACCAAGGAGGTGAAAGACCTCTACAAGGAAAACTACAAAACAGTGCTGAAAGAAATCATAGATGACACAAACAATTGGAAACACATCCCATGCTTGTGTGAAATTGTGAAAATCACCATACTGCCAAAAGCAATCTGTAAATTCTTTGCAATTCACATCAAAATACCACCATTATTCTTCACAGAACTAGAAAAAAAATCCTAAAATTCAAATGGAACCAAAAAAAGAACCTGCACAGCCAAAGCAAGACTAAACAAAAAGAACTAATCTGGATGCACCACATTACCCAACTTCAAACTATAGTATAAGGCCATAGTCACCAAAACAGCATGGTACTGGTATAAAAATAGGCACATAGACCAATGGAGCAGAAAAGAGAACCTAGAAATAAAGCCAAATACTTAGAATCAACTGATCTTCAACAAAGCAAACAAAAACATAAAATAGGGAAAGGGCACCCTATTCAACAAAATGATGCTGGGATAAGTGGCAAGCCATATGTAGAAGAATGAAACCAGATCCTCATCTCTCACCCTATACAAAAATCAACTCAAGATGGATCAAAGACTTAAATCTAAGACCTGAAATCATAAAAATTCTAGAAGACAGCTTTGAAAACCCCTTCTAGACATTGGCTTGGGCAAGGACTTCATGACCAAGAACCCAAAAGCAAACACAACAAAAACAAAGATAAATAGAAGGAACTTAATTAAACTAAAAAGGTTCTGCACAGAAAAAGAAATAATCAGCAGAGTAGACAGACAACCCGCAGAGTAGACAGACAACCCACAGAGTGGGAGAAAATCTTCACAATCTATACATCTGACAAAGGACTAATATCCAGGGTCTACAAGGAACTCAAACAAATGAGCAAGAGAAAAACAAACAATCCCATCAAAAAGTGGGCTAAGGACATGAATAGACAATTCTCAAAAGAATATGTACAAATGGTCAACAAACATATGAAAACGTGCTCAACATCACTAATGATCAGGGAAATGCGAATCAAAACCACAATACGATACCACCTTACTCCTGCAAGAATGGCCATAATCAAAAAAATAAAAAACTAATAGATGTTGACGTGGATGTGGCAAAAAGGGAACATTTTTACTCTGTTGGTGGGAATGCAAACTAGTAAAAGCACTATGGAAAACTGTATGGAGACTCCTTAAAGAACTAAAAGTGATCCACCATTTGATCCAGCAATCCCACTCCTGGAGGGTATCTACCCAGAGGAAAAGAAGTCATTTTACGAAAAAGATATTTGCACATGTATGTTTATAGTAGTACAGTTTGCAATTGCAAAAATGTGGAACTGGTCCAAATGCCTATCAATCAATGAGTGGATAAAGAAAATGTGATATATACGTGTGTGTATACATATATATGCCCATATATACGTGTGTATATATAAATGTGGTGTGTGTATATATATATATTATATATATAAAATATATATATATAATGGAATACTACTCAGCCATAAAAAGGAACGAAATAATGGCATTCCCAGCAACCTGGATGGAATTGGAACCATTATACTAAGTGAAGTAACTCAGGAATGGAAAACCAAACATCGTATGTTCTCACTCATAAGTGGGAGCTAAGCTATGAGGACACAAAGGCATAAGAATAATACAATGGACTTTGGGAACTTGGGGGAAAGGGTAGAAGGGGGGTAAGAGATAAAATACTATACATTGTGTATAGTGTACACTGCTTGGGTGATGGGTGCACCAAAATCTCAGAAATCACCACTAAAGAAGTTATCCATGTAACCAAACACCAACTGTTTCCCCAAAACCTAATGAAATCAAGGGAAAAAAAAAGAAAGGTAGAAAGGAGTGGAGATGGGTCTATTTGGGTAAGTACAACTGGCTCAGTGTGGCTGGGACAAAGAAGAGGGCTCTCAAGGGAGGAGAAACAGGCAGAGGCAGAATTATGAAGGAGTTCCTGCACCAATCAGAGGCATTCAAACCTCCTTAAGCCTCAGTTTTCTCCTCAGTGGATGAACATCATGAGGCTCTTGTAAAGAGAAAATGCACTATTGCAAGGGAAGATGTTTATATGACATCTGGCATTTCACTGGCCCTCAGGGAGCAGTAGTCACTTTATGCTAAGAATTGCAGGATTTTAAACAGCACAACAGCACAGTCAGCTTGGAGCCTTGAAAGATGCCAGTGAGGAGGCTGCTGTGATCTAAAGGGAGACATTGGCTGCCTGGAGTCCACATGCCCTTGGCCTACTCCAGAGGTCACCTGCATAAGTTCCAAACATGCAAACAGATTCTTAGGTCTTGCTGCCAGAGAACTTGGTCTAGTATTGGATTCTACTTAGCTACATGCAGGGCAGGCCAGAGTGCTGATGAATTAATGCCCCAGGAGCAACTCTCAACCCATAAGGGATGGGCATTGGTGGATACATGGCCCTCAGTGGGACAATTCTGAGGAGCATTCCACACAGCCTCTCAGAGGACCCCTAGTTGGACTGAGCTCCAAGGACCCCTCCACAGGTAGCCCACTCATTAACCTAACCTTTCTTAGCTTTTCTCTCTTTCCTGTCTCACTTCTCCACTCCCTCACAGTGCTTCCTAGGATCACCTCGCAAATAAACTTCTCACACCCAAATTCTCAGGATCTACTTTTGGAGAAATGCAAACTGAACAATTGGTACCAGATGATCCTGGAAAGTAGAACTCAGGAGAGGATTCTGGAATTAAATCACTAACCAACCAGACAGGAAAAAATATATATATAAATTCTGGTAGTAAGTGGCATGCTTTTTGCAACATCACAATTCATTAAGACTCCCCTGTGATGGACTGGGCACATATACAAGTAGAAGGAGAATCAAAGGATATGTCATAGCTCCAGCACTTGAAAGACATGGCAATGGCAGCTATAGGGGCTGTGGAGTTGATGAGTTTTTGTTGTCTGCCACTGAAGCCTTAAAGAAACAGAATCTGTTGAGCTCAGATAAGTACACCACCAGCTCAGGGCACTTTATGAAACCTGGAAAGTCTCAGAGGCACCATTTAAAGAGACATTCATCTCCTGCAACTACAGGGTGGACTGTGCCAAAAATCAGAGCTCAAAATTTTACTGTAAGCATGCTTGAATCAAAAAAGAGACTGAATTCACAGCCCCAGTCAGTCAGGCCCCCAGTACAGCAGAAGAAGTAGGACCATGAGACTTGGTATTCAGACTTAAGAACTTTTGACCCCAACATTCTCCTAAGTCTTGTAGGTTGGCATAAGTGTCTTCCTTCCTCTTACAAAGAACAGCCTCCCATTGCCAGGAGCCCATGCGATAGTCCTCACCTAAAACATATGTCTTCCAAGATAATGGTTGTCCTCCTGCCTCTCCCTCATCATATCCCGCCCTTAGACAAAAACTATGTGTGCTCTCATCCCAGCATGGCTTAAGGGAAGCGGTGTTTCTTACATGGGAGCTTACACATTATTCACCATCAGAGCTGCAGAAATTAAAATATACGGAGAGGAACTGAAAGAATATGTGTGAGAGTGTGTCTTGAGGATATTGCATCATGGTGGAGGGAAACTATAAAGGCTAGGTAGGAGATAGTTTATTGAAGTGGGTGCTCCTGTAAGTTGCTGCTGTAACTCAAGATTTCACATCCTAACAAGAATGCGCAAAGCCAGTCTTAACACATAGCTAGAATAGTTCCTTAAAGCTTGAAGTACTTTAAAGCTTGGAGTACTGTACAGGCCTACAGTAAATTGGGTAGAAATGCCATAACTATGTTGGCAGTGTATTACGGAAGAGATCAGAAGGCTCAGAGAAGTGGGCATGCTAGAATGGATTTATGGCATAAGACCAAACAGCTACTAAGTTGTGTAAGAAGGCTAGAGAACACTCAGCTTGCTAAATGAGTGTGCACTATGGAATAAAGAATGCACTATGAGAAACTCAGTGGTGGCTTTCCTCTGTAAGCGAAGTTGATGGTAAAGATGTAACTGTAGAATTGAACTATCTAGTGTAAATAGGAAGATAGATTCTGAACTTTCAGGGTCCAGGAAGTGACACTTAAACATCAGAGGCAAGGTGTGTGTTATTGGCAGCAAAACTGGAATGGGAAGCAGAGACTCTGACCTTCAGAGATCTGTGATGATGGCTAATAGAACATGGTGTCTCTAGAGATGAGACGCATGGGCAGCCAACTAGTGTTGACTTATAAACCAAAAAATATCGAAAGCATGGAAGCTGAAGACTGACAACCAGTTGCCACAGTGGAAAATCATAATTCATGGCAATTTGAAGATTTGAGCCTGTTCTCAGCCAGAGCCCATTGATTGGAGAGGTGCCCAAATCCCCTTGAGGAAGGACACCACAATGACTTAGCATGCATGTGTAATACATAATTAAGCCCTTTCTCAAAAAGCCCTATAATCAGTTACCAGACTAATTGTCTACTGGAGAAGGGAGAATACCCAAGTCTTTTTTTCAGCTTTATTGAGGTGTACTTGACCTCCTGGGCTCAAGTGATCCTCCTGCCTCAGCCTCCCAAGTAGCTGGGACCACAGGTGTGCACCACCATGCCCAGCGTTTTTTTTTTTTTTTTTTTTTTGAGACAAGGTCTCACCATGTTGCCAAAGCTGGTCTCAAACTCCTGGGTTCAAGTGATCCTCCAGCTCCCAAAGTGCTGGGATTACAGATATGAGCCACCACACCTGACCTGTATATATTTAAAGTATACAATGTGATGGTTTTGTATACATATATATTGTGAAACAATTACCACATTCAAGCTAATTAACATATCCATTACCTTACATAGTTATGATTTGTGTGTATATGTATTTGGTGAAACACTTAAGATCAACTCTCTTAGTAAACTTCAAGTATACAAAACAGTATTATTAACTATAGTCTCCATGTTGTACATTAGATCTCCAGAGCTTATGTGTCCCGAATAACTGAACCTTAGTACGCTTTGACCAATACCTCCTCATTTCCCCCATTCCTCAGCCCCTGGCAACCACCATTCTACTCTGCTTTTATGAGTTCAACGTTTTTTAGATTCCTCATATGAGTGAGATCATGCTGTGAATCTGTTTCTGGCTGATTTCACTTAGGAGGATGTCCTCCAAGCTCATCCATGCTGTCCCAAAGGGCAAGATCTCCTTTTTAAAGGCTGAATAATATTCCATTGTATATATCTCTCACATTTTCTTTATCCATTCATTCATCAACTTAGATTTTTTTCATATCTTGGCTATTGTAAATAATGTTGCAATGAACATAGGGGTGCTGATATATCTTCAAGATACTACTTTCATTTCTTTTGAGCATATATGTGCCCAGAAGTGGGATTGCTGGAACATATGCTAGCTCTATTTTAATGTTTTGAGGAACCTCCATACTATTTTCCATAATGACTATACCGATTTACAATCCCTTCAACTGTGTATATGGGTTTCTGTTTCTCCACAGCCTCACCAACACTTGTTTTCTTTTGACAATGCCATTTTAACAAGTGTGAGGTTATCTCTTGTGCTTTTGATTTGTACTTCCATGATGATTAGTGATGTTGCACACCTTTTCATGTATCTTTTGGCCATTTGTATGTCTTTTAAGAAATGTCTATTCGGAGGGGAAGGGAAGGGAGGAGGGAGGGAGGGAGGGAGGGAGGGAGGAAGGAAGGAAGGAAGGAAGGAAGGAAGGAAGGAAGGAAGGAAGGAAGGAAGGAAAGAAAATTGGAAAGGCTCCTCCTCTCCCTCTCCCTCCTCTCCCTCTCCCTCTGCCTCTCCCTCTCCCTCTCCCCACGGTCTCCCTCTCCCTCTCTTTCCACGGTCTCCCCCTGATGCCGAGCCAAAGCTGGACTGTACTGCTGCCATCTCGGCTCACTGCAACCTCCCTGCCTGATTCTCCTGCCTCAGCCTGCCGAGTGCCTGCGATTGCAGGCGCGCGCCGCCACGCCTGACTGGTTTTCGTATTTTTTTGGTGGAGACGGGGTTTCGCTGTGTTGGCCGGGCTGGTCTCCAGCTCCTAACCGCGAGTGATCCGCCAGCCCCGGCCTCCCGAGGTGCCGGGATGGCAGACGGAGTCGCGTTCACTCAGTGCTCAATGGTGCCCAGGCTGGAGTGCAGTGGCGTGATCTCGGCTCGCTACAACCTCCACCTCCCAGCTGCCTGCCTTGGCCCCGCAAAGTGCCGAGATTGCAGCCTCTGCCTGGCTGCCACCCCGTCTGGGAAGTGAGGAGCCTCTCTGCCTGGCCGCCCATCGTCTGGGATGTGAGGAGCCTCTCTGCCTGGCTGCCCAGTCTGGAAAGTGAGGAGCGTCTCTGCCCGGCCGCCATCCCATCTAGGAAGTGAGGAGCGTCTCTGCCAGGCCGCCCATCGTCTGGGATGTGGGGAGCGCCTCTGCCCGGCCGCCCCGTCTGGGATGTGAGGAGCGTCTCTGCCCGGCCGCCCCGTCTGAGAAGTGAGGAGACCCTCTGCCTGGCAACCGCCCCGTCTGGGAAGTGGGGAGCCCCTCCGCCCGGCAGCCACTCCGTCTGGGAAGTGAGGAGCGTCTCCGCCCGGCAGCCAGCCCGTCTGGGAGGGAGGTGGGGGTCAGCCCCCCGCCCGGCCAGCCGCCCCGTCCGGAAGGGAGGTGGGGGGGTCAGCCCCCCGCCCGGCCAGCCGCTCCGTCTGGGAGGTGAGGGGCGCCTCTGCCCGGCCGCCCCTGCTGGGAAGAGAGGAGCCCCTCTGCCCGGCCAGCCGCCCAGTCCGGGAGGGAGGTGGGGGGGTCAGCCCCCCCCCCGGCCAGCCGCCCCATCCGGGAGGTGGGGAGCCCCTCTGCCCGGCCACCGCCCCGTCTGGGAGGTGTGCTCGGCAGCTCATTGAGAGCGGGCCATGATGACAATGGCGGTTTTGTGGAGTGGAGGGCGGGGAAGGGTGGGGAGGGGATTGAGGGGTCGGATGGTTGCCATGTCTGTGTGGGGAGAGGTGGACATGGGAGACTTTTCATTTTGTTCTGTGCTGGGAGAGATTCTTCTGCCTTGGGATCCTGTTGATCTGTGACCTTACCCCCAACCCTGTGCTCTCTGAAACATGTGCTGTGTCCACTCAGGGTTGAATGGATTAAGGGTGGTGCAAGATGTGCTTTGTTAAACAGATGCTTGAAGGCAGCATGCTCGTTAAGAGTCATCACCACTCCCTAATCTCAAGTACCCAGGGACACAAACACTGCGGAAGGCCGCAGGGTCCTCTGCCTAGGAAAACCAGAGACCTTTGTTCACTTATCTGCTGACCTTCCCTCCACTATTGTCCTGTGACCCTGCCAAATCTCCCTCTGCGAGAAACACCCAAGAATGATCAATAAAAAAAAAAAAAAAAGAAATGTCTATTCAATTCCTTAACCCATTTTGAGAGGGGGTCTTTTTTTTTTTTTTTGCTATTGAGTTGTTTGGATTTCTTACATATTTTGGATATTAACTCCTTATCAGATGTATGGCTTGCAAATATATTTTCCCCATTCTGTAGGTTGCCTTTTGCCTCTGTTGATTATTTCCTTTGCTGTGCAGAGCTTTTTAGTTTGATACAATCCTATGCAAATCCTTTTGCATTTGTTACCTGTGCTTTTGGTGTCATAGCCAAGAAAACATTGCCCAGACAAATGTAAAGATGCCTTCTTTCTATGTTTTCTTCTAGTATTTTATGATTTCAGGCTTACATTTAAATATTTAATCCATCTGAACTGATTTTTCTGTGAGGTGTGAGATAAGGGTCCAGTTTCATTCTTCTGCATGTGGATACCCAATTTCCCCAAAATCATGTATTGAAGAGACAATCTTTCTATTGCTGCTGATGTGAGTAGGCAAAGAATAAAATAAAACCAAATTTAAAAGTATAAAGAGACCATTCTTGACCCATTATGTGTTCTTGACACCTTTATCAAAGATCAGTTGACTATAGATACATGGGTTTATTTCTGGACTCTCCATTTTATTCCATTGGTTATATGTCTGTTTTTATGCCAGTACCATACTATTGTGATTACTGTAGCTTTGTAATATATTTTGAAATCAGAAGTGTAATGCCCTCCAGCTGTGTTCTTTAGGCTCAAGATTGCTTTGGCTATTTGGGGTTTTATAAGAATTTTAAGACATTGTTTTTGTATTTCTGTAAAGAATGCCATTGGGATTTTGATAGGAATTGAACTGAATCTGTAGATCACTTTGGGTAGTATGGACATTTTACCAATATTAATTCTTCCAATTCATGGACATGAGATGTCTTTTCATCTTTGTCTTCTTTAATTTCCTTCATCAATGTTTTATAATTTTTAGTGTACAAGTCTTTCACCTCTTTGGTTAAGCCTATTCCAAAGTATTTTATTCCTTTTGTTGTTATTGAGTATGGGATTACTTTTTTTTTTTTTTATTTTGAGACAGTGTCTCACTCTGTCACCCAGGCTGGAGTGCAGTGGTGCCATCTCGGCTCACTGCAACCTCCATCTCCTGGGTTCAGGCGATTCTCCTCCCTCAGCCTCCCAAGTAGCTGGGATTACATTATACCTGGCTAATTTTTTTGTATTTTTAGTGGAGACAGGGTTTCACCATGTTGGCCAGGCTGGTCTTGAACTCTTGACCTCAGGTGATCCACCTGCCTTGGCCTCCCAAAGTGCTGGGATTACAGGCGTGAGCCACTGTGCCCAGCCTGGGATTACTTTCTTAATTTCGAATAGTTCATTGTGTATAGAAACACAACAGGTTTTTTTTTTTTTCTTTTCTCAACTTCTATTTTAGGTTCAGGGGTTACATGTACAGGTTTGCTACATGGGTAAATTGCGTGTTGCTGGGTTGGGTATCCAAATGATTTCATCACCCAGGAAGCAAGCATAGTACCCAATAGGTAGTTTTTCAACCCTTACCTCCTCTCATCCTCCCCACTGAAGTAGGTCCCTATTGTTCCCATCTTTGTGTCCATGTGTACTCAATCACAACAGATTTTTGTATGTTGATTTTTTTATCCTACCATTTTGCTAAATTCATTTAAGTCTAACAGTTTTTTGTTAAGTCTTTAGGGTTTTCTACATATATGATCATGTCATCTGCAAACAGATAATTGTGCTTCTTTTCTGATTTGAAGGCCTATTTCTTTTTTTAATCACTAACCTCTTTTTATTGATTGATTGATTGATTGATTGACTTTTTACAGATGGGTTCTCACTATGTTGCCTGTGCTGAACTTGAACTCCTGGGCTCAAGTGATCCTCCTGTCTCAGCTTCCCAAGTAGCTGGGACTACAGGTATACATGCCACCCATCTGGCTTATTTTTTGTTTTTTAATTGACACATGTAATTGTGCATATTTATGGGATACAATTTGATATTCCGATACATATATACATTATATAATGATCAAATCAGGGTAGTTAGCATATCCATCACCCATGTATTTATCATTTCTTTGAGGTGAGAACATTCAAAAGACTGGCCTTCTGGCTATTTTGTAATATACAATACCTTACTATTAACCATTGTAACCCTACTGAGCAGTAGAACACTCCTATCTTACTGTAACTTTGTGCGTGTCTCCCAACCTCTCCCCCTTTCCCTCCTCCCCAGTCTCTGGCAACAACTGTTCTACTCTCTACTTCCATGATTTATTTTTAAGATTCTACATATGAGTGAGATTAAGCACTATTTGTCTTTCTGTGCCTGGCTTATTTACCTTAACATGATGTCCTTCAGGGTCTTCCATGTTCTCACAATTGACAGTGTTTCATTCTTTTTATGGCTGAATAATATTCCATTGTGTATATATGACATATTTTCTTTATTCATTCATCCATTGTTGGACACTTAGGTTGATTCCATATCTTGGCTATTGTAAATAGTGCTGCAATAAATATGGGAGTGCAAATATCTCTTCGATGTGCTGATTTCATTTCCTTTGGATATATGCCCAATAATGGGGTTGCTGGATCATAGAGTAGTTCTAGTTTTAATTTTTTGAGGGACCTCCACACTGTGTTCCATAATGGCTATACTAATTTACAATCCCACCAACTGTGTGTAAGTGTTCTGTTTTACCCACATTGTCACCAAAACTTTTTTTTTTTTTTTTTTTGAGACAGGCTTTTGCTCTGTCTCCCAGGCTGGAGTGCAGTGGCACAATTATGGCTCACTGCAACCTTGACTCTCGGGCTCAAGTGATCCTCTTGCCTCAGCCACCTGAGTAGCTGGGACTACAAGCATGAGCCACTACACCTGGCCTATGTGTGTCCTTAAAACTAAAGTGGGTCTCTTGTAGACAGCATATTACTGGATTTTTAAAATGCTCCAGCCATCTATATCTTTTGATTGGAGAATTCAATCCATTCACATCTAAAGTAATTCTTGATAGATGAGGGCTTACTCTTGTCATTTTCTCATTGTATTCTGTTTTGTAGTTTCTGTCTTTCTTTCTTCCACTCTTGCTATCTTCGTGATTTGATATGGATTCTTTTTTTGATAGTGGTATGCTTTAATTCCTTTTTCTTTATCTTTTGTATATCTACTGGAGGTTTTTTCCCTTGTGCTTACCATGAGGCTTACATAAAGCGTCTTGTAGTTATAACTGTCTATTTTGAGCAGATAACTTAACCACAATCACATATAAAAATATACCCAAGTCTTTTGAGAGCTGTTGGATAACAGGCCTGCACTGGCATTTTTACCAGGAAACCTGTTTTGCCATCATTTCTCCCTTGTTATAGTAAGGTCATATGAAAGATGGTACATGGAGTCCTGGCCCAAGTCCATCTTCCACTAGGGTCCATACTGTGATCATTTCTCTAGTCCTTGGGTACATATTCAAGATAGATATACTTAGTATTGGTTCTCTGAGAAGTAAAAGACCTTATGGGAGAAAAGGTCAAGTGAGAGCCCCTGAAACTTTTCCCCACCCTGGCCAAGACAGGGAATCAGAAGCAATACTACATGATGGGTGGAAGTTAATGGGCAAAAATTAATGCCACCCTTAATGATTTAAAGGATGCAAGGGTGGCGATTTTTACTATATTTCTATTTAACTTACTATTATATCCCCTGCAAAAGAAATATAAATCAGAGTGAACAATGGTGTACTTCCATAAACTTAACCAACTGGTAGATCTGACTACAACCACTGTGCCAGATATGGTGTCTCTACTACAACCAATCAACACTTGGTTGTTGCTATTGATAAGGCAAATGTATTCTTTTTATCCCCATCAAAAAGGAAGATCAAAAGCAGAGTACAGTTATCATTTCACATTCACCTAGTGTGAACAGCAGTACACATTGCTGGAGCTCTGATAATTCTCTTTTCTGTCACAATATAAGCCAAAGGAATTTTGATCATTTTGACATTTCTACAAAACATCATTATGATGGTCTACCATACTGATGACATCATATTCATTAGACCTGGTGAACAGAAGGAGTATTTTGGATGCCTTGTATCTTAGTCAGCTTGGGCTGCCATAACAAAATATGATACACTGGGGGGCTTCAACAAAAGGAATGTCTTTCTTACAGTTCTGGGGGCTGGGAAGTTGAAGATCAAGATGCTAGCCAATCTGGTTCCCTGGTGAGGGCTCTCTTCCTGACTTACAGATGGCAAACCTCACTGTGTCCTCACATGGCAGGGAGAGGGAGGAAGAGAAAGAGGAAGTAAGCCCTCTGTGTCTCTTTTTATAAGGGCACCAGTTCCACCATGAGAACCCTACCCTCATGAACTCATCTAAACCGAATTATCTCCCAAAGGCCCTGTCTCCAAATACCATCACATTAGGGGTTAAGACTTCAACACATGAATTTTGGGAGGACAAATTCAATCTATAGCACCTTGGAAATAAACATGCATGCCAGAAAGTTAGAGATTAACCTTACAATGATTAATATGTCTGTCACATCAATAACATTTTTCGTAGTCCAATGGTCTAGGGCATTCCAGGATATTCCACCACGCCAAGGTAATGGATAAGGTATTGCACCAAGGGATGAAATGTTTTTACCAAAGGGCACTACAATGGTTTCACTGAACCTAAAGCTATGGACTGTCTTTTGGTCATTTCAGATTCTTCATGCTGGTAAGCCTCCAAGCAAAGAGAGGAGTAATTATATTGGCAAGGTATTAATCCTGATTATCATAAGGAAATAGAAGTGTTGCTATATAATGAGAGCAGGAGGGAATGTGTTTGAAATTTGGTGTTCTCTGTGACTAGTGACAATACACAAACGGGCAGTTGCAGCAATCATGGCCTTACAAGAACAAGATAACTAGTGGCCCAGATCCCTTTGGGTAGAAGGTCTGGGTAAGCAATCTAGACTAGCAGAAGTTCTGGCTGAGGCTGACACTAAGAGACATCTAGAATGAAAAGAAGAGGAGGGAGTTGATGAATATCAATTATAGCCCCAGAGTGAACTGTAACAGTGGAAACTAATTTTTGTCCCAAGAATCCTCCTTTTGTAAATTTTGTATTAGGGATTATAAATGGCCACCACCTTGGAGAATCTGACAGCATACAATGGACTTGATGTAGGAACAGAGTGGATCTGAGCAGTGCAAGAAGATACTATAGCAAATTCTGTACATACTTCACCTATGTCCTTAAGTTTTAAAAATTCTAAAGAGCATGGCCAAGTGCGGTGGCTCACACAATCCCAGCACTTTGGGAGGCTGAGGCGGGTAGATCATCTGAGTTCAGGAGTTCGAGAACAGCCTGGCCAACATGGAGAAAGCTCATCTCTACTAAAAATACAAAAATTAGCCGGGCATGGTGGCACATGCCTGTAGTCCCAGCTACTTGGGAGGCTGAGGCAGGAGAATCTGAACTAGGAGGTGGAGGTTGCAGTGAGCCGAGATTGCACCACTGCACTCCAGCCTAGACAACAGAGTGAGACTCCATCTCAAAAAAGAAAAAAAAAAATTCTAAAGAGCATGTGGCCATATTTTTTCAATATAATATAATAATTTCTGTCTTTAAATGATGTGTTTTGTCCATTTACTTGTTTGTGGTTTCTTAGATGCTTGAATTTATTTCTAACATCTTATTTGGGGCTTACTGTATTTCCTCCTTTGTTAATGTTTCTGTTTTCTGTTGCTTTCTACTAGATTGACTGAAGCCTTTTAAATTTCTCATTGTTTTTAAATTGTATACTCTATTTTTTATTCTTTTTTTTTTTTTTTTTGAGCTGGAGTCTCGCTCTGTCACCTAGGCTGGAGTGCAGTGCCATGATCTTGGCTCACTGCAACCTCTGCCTCCTGGGTTCAAGCAATTCTCCTGCCTCAGCCTCCCGAGTAGCTGGGATTACAGGCAGCTGCCACCACACCTGGTTAATTTTTGTATTTTTAGTAGAGACAGGGTTTCACCATGTTGGCCAGGGTGGTCTCAAACTCCTGACCTCAGGTGATCTGCCTGCCTCAGCCTCCCAAACTGCTGGGATTACAGGTGTAAGCCACCGTGCCCAGCCTCTATTTTTATTCTTAGAGCTACCATTAAAATTTTTTTCTGTATGTTTGTGCCTTTTCTTTAACTTATTTTAGGTTCAGGGGTACATGTGCAGGTTTTTTACATAGGTAAACTCGCGGCACAGGGGTTTGATGTACAGATTATTTCATCACCCAGGTACTCAGCCTACTACCCAATAGTTATTTTTTCTGCTCCTCTCCCTCCTCCCAACCTCCACCCTCTGGTAAGCCCCAGTGTCTGTTGTTTCCCTCTTTGTGTCCATGTGGTCTCATCATTTAGCTCCTACTTATAAGTGAGAACATGCAGTATTTGATTTTCTGTTTCTGAGTTAGTTTGCTAAGGATAATGGCCTCCAGCTCCATCCATGTTCCTGCAAAGGACATGATCTCATTCTTTTTATGACTGCATAGTATTCCATGGCATATATATATACATATATATACCACATTTTCTTTGCCCAACCTTCCACTGATGGACATTTAGGTTGATTCCCTGTATTTGCTATTATGGATAGTGCTGCAATGAACATACTTGTGCAAGTGTTTTTAAAATAGAACAATTTATATTCCTTTGGGTAAATACCCAGTAATGGGATTGCTGGGTCAAATGGTATTTCTGTCTTTAGGTCTTTGAGGAATCGCCACACAGTCATCCACAATGGTTGAACTAATTTACACACCCACTAACAATGTATAAGTGCTCCCTTTTCTCTACAACCTCATCAGCAACTGTTATTTTTTGACTTTTTAGTAATAGCCATTCTGACTGGTGAAGATAATATCTCATTATGGTTTTGATGTGCATGTCTCTTCTTTTTGTTTGTTTTTTGAGACAGAGTTTCACTCTGTCCCCCAGGCTGGAGTGCAGTGGCCTGATCACGGCTCACTGCAACCTCTGCCTCCCAGATTCAAGTGATCCTCCTGCCTCAGCCTCCCGAGTAGCTGGGATTAGAGGCATGCACCACCATGCCTGGCTAATTTTTGTATTTTTATTAGAGACAGGGTTTCACCATATTGGCCAGGCTGGTCTCAAACTCCTGGCCTCAAGTGATCCACCTGTCTCGGCCTCCCAAAGTGCTGGGATTACAGACGTGAGCCACCACGCCCAGCCTGATGTGCATGTCTCTAATAATGAGTGATGCTAAGCTTTTTTCATATGATTGTAGGCCGTATGTATGTCTTCTTTTGAAAAGTGTTCATGTCCTTTGCCCACTTTTTAATGGGGTTGTTTGGTCTTTGCTTGTAAATTTGTTTAAGTTCCTTACTAGATCTTTGTCTGATGCTTAGTTTGCAAACATTTTCTCCCTTTCTGTAGGTTGTCTGTTTACTCTGTTTATAATTTCCTTTGCTGTACAGAAAACTCTTTAGTTTAATTATATCCCCTTTGCCAATTTTTGCTTTTGTTGCAATTACCTCTGATGTCTTCGTCATGAAATCTTTGCCTGTTCCTATGTCCAGAATGGTACTGCATAGTTTGTTTTCCAGGGTTTATATTGTTTTGGGTTTTACATTTAATTAAAGGATTAAGCCTTTAATCCTTCTTGAGTTAATTTTTGTATATGGTGTAAGGAAGGAATCCAATTTCAGTCTTCTGCATATGGCTAGCCAGTTATGCCAGCACCATTTATTGAATAGGAAGTCCTTTCTCCATTGCTTGTTTTTGGCAGGTTTGTAGATCAGATGGTTGGAGGTGTGTGGCCTTATTTCTGGGCTCTCTATTCTGTTCCACTGGACTATGTGCCTGTTTTTATACCAGTACCATGCTGTTTTGGTTATTGTAGCCTTGTAGTATAGTTTGAGGCTAGGTAGCATGATGCCTCCAGCTTTGTTCTTTTTTCTTAAAATTGTCTTGGCTATTCAGGCTCTTTTTTGGTCCCATATGAATTTTAAAATAGTTTTTTCTAGTTTTGTGAAGAATGTCAATAATATTTTGATAGGAATAGCATTAAATTTGTAAATTGCTTTGGGTAATATGGCCATTTTAATGATATTGATTCTTCCTATGCATGAGCATGGAATGTTTTTCCATTTGTTTGTGTCATCTCTGATTTTTTTGAGCAGTGTTTTGTAGTTCTTGTTGTAATGACCTTTTACCTCCCTGGTTAGCTGTATTCCTGGGTATTTTATTCTTTTTGTGGTAATTGTAAATGGGATTGCATTCCAGATTTGGCTCTTGGCTTGACTGTTGGTGGTGTATAGGAATGCCAGTGATTTTTGTATGTTGATTTTGTATCCTGAAACTTTGCTGAAGTTGTTTATCAGCTTAAGGAGCTTCTGGGCCAAGACTGTGGAGTTTTCTAGACACAGGATTATAATCATCTGCAAAGAGGGATAGTTTGACTTCCTCTCTTTCTATTTGGATGCACTTTCTTTCTCTTGCCTGACTGCCCTGGCCAGGACTTCCAATACTATGCTGAAAATAAGTGGTGAGAGAGGACATTTTTGTCTTTTGCCAGTTTTCAAGGGGAATGCTTCTAGCTTTTGCCCATTCAGTATGATGTTGGCTGTGTGTCTGTCATAGATGGCTCTCATTATTTTGAGGTATATTCCTTCAATACTTAGTTTATTGAGAGTCGTTAACATGAGGGAATGTTGAATTTTATCAAAAGACTTTTCTGCATCTACAATTTTTAATACACATATTTGACTTAAGATCTAAAGTTAAAGAACTCTACCCTCATTTATATTATACAGTGACTTAAATCTTTCACTCCAATCACTTCCTCCATATACATGTTATCATTTTATAATATTTTTGTTTCAACTTTCTATTTATACCACTCAAAATTAACCTTTATTACCACTTTATATAATCAATGCTTATTTAGTAAGCCCAAATTTATGTATAATTAAATACATATATAATTTTTAAATTATCATTGTATTGTATATTTATTCCTGAGTTAGATTTCCTTCTTTTAGAAGTATATCCTTTAGTTGTTCTTTAACCATAGGTCAATTACTGGTAAATATTTAAGTCTTTATCTAAAAAATTTTCCCCTTACTCGAATGTTTCTTTATTTGGGGATAAACTTCTAGGTAGATACTTATTTTCTCTAGCTACTTTGACAATATAATACTGCTGAACAACTGAATACCAGCTTCTATTGTTGCTGTTGATGTCTAAAATTACTCTAATTTTTATTATCTGTGGCTAATATCTTCATTCTCTCCAGTTATTTCAAGATATTCTATTTGATTTAGGGGTTTTTCATTTTCACTTCAGTGTGTATATGTATAGATTTTTTTTATCTTGCTTAAGATGTTTTAGCCTTTCTACATCTGAAGATTTATGTCTATCATGAAGTCTGGATAATCCTTATTTGAAATTGCTTTGAATATTGTCTCTCCCTCCATTCTCTTTTTTCTCATCTTCTGGAAATTTTATTAGATGAATGCTGAACTTTCTCTTTCATCCCCTATGTTTCTGAACCCATCTTTTACATTTTCCATCTCTGTATCTATGCATACACCCTGGGTAATTTTCTCAGTTCTATCTACCAGGTCACTAATTCTCTCCTAAGCTGTGTTTAATCTCATATTTAGTCATTCATGGAGTTTTTAATTTTAATGATTATATTTTTCATTCTAGAAGTTCTATCTGATTATTTTCCAAGACTTCTTTTTTCTGTTTCATAGTGTCTTGTGCTTTCATTATGTTAAGCAGATTCAGGGTTGTTACTAAGGTACAGCCTGGCTTAGCCTGCCTAATTCAGTATGCTTATTTGCATTGTTATCATATGTCTCCCTACTAGATTATATGCTTATGAGGGCAGAAACACATCTGTGCTTAATCAAGTGAGGTCGTTATTAACTTTTATACTCCAATTATTTCATCTTTGGCCAAGGGGAGCCAATGCTGGCTTCTATGTGCTTTTGACCCAGCTCCACTTACTTTTTGACAGCATCATTATTTTCTAGTAGGAGAAGGTGTCCCAGACTCATCTTGTACATTACCAGCCTGTGACCTGGAATCAGTCATTTTTCCAAAGAGCCCTGGTTCCCCACAGTACCATGATGAGGGAATATTTAGGACCAAGTTCTGGGTGATAGGAGTACTCATTTCTCCTGGGATGCTTCTAAGCTTTTTCATTGAACACAGTGAAGAAATAGAAATATGTTAATATTTTAAATAGTGAATTTAATTTAATATTTCTAATTCAAAATAACATTATAGGAGTCTTAGTTAATTCCTTTGATTTCTTAATAGCTTTATGGATGCATAATTTAGACACAATGAAATTCACTCTTTTTTTTTTTTTTTTTTGACGGAGTCTTGCTCTGTCGCCAGAGCAAGAGTGCAGTGGCACAATCTTGGCTCACTGCAGTCTCTGCCTCCTGCAATCAAGCAATTCTCCTGCCTCAGCCTCCCGAGTAGCTGGGACTACAGGCACACGCCGCCAAGTCTGGCTAATTTTTTTGTATTTTTAGTAGAGATGGGGTTTCACCATGTTGGCCAGGATGGTCTTGATCTCCTAACCTCGTGATTCGCCTGCCTCGGCCTCCGAAAGTGCTGGGATTACAGGCGTGAGCCACTGCGCCCAGCCAAAATTCACTCATTTTTAGGTGTACAATTGTGTAACATCAAAACCCTAAAATATTTTCTCATGCCCCTTTGCAGTTGATTCCCTCTCCTGACCCTCAATCCCTGGCAACTACTGATCTACCTCTGTCACTTTAGTTTACCTTTACTAGAATTTTACATAAATGGTATCATATTGTTAAACAAAAATTATAGGGGGCCTTTTTTGGGGGGGGAAATGGGGTCTCACTCTGTCACCCAGGCTGGAGTGCAATGGCATGTCACAGGTCACTATAGCATTGACCTCCCGGACACAAGTGATCCATCTGCTTCAACCTCCCCAGTAGCTAGGACTACAGGTGTGCACCACCACATTGGGCTAATTTTCTTATTTTTATTTTTTGTAGAGATGTGGTCTTGCTGTGTTGCCCAGGCTGGTCTTGAATTCCTGGGCTCAAGCAATCTTCCCACCTTGACCTCCTGAAGTGCTGGAATTACAGGTGTGAGCCCATGCCCTGCCAGGATGCCATTGTTTTGGACTAAACTCCTATACTGGGCCCCAATGGACGAGACTAAAACTCAAAATGGAGTTACCCCGGCTCACCAAACCAAAACTAAGCTGTTATCTGGCCTTTTGAGAAAACAGGAGTGAGAAGGAGCCTAATTTCCCAAACAGGCCAATTTCAACCTTCTATCAGCATGAGAATGAAGTTTCCTCTGTTTTAATCCTTACAACAAAGAGTAACCTGGAGTAACCTGTTGTTAACCCATCAGTTATCTTCCCATTGTTCTGTCTTCCTGTCCCTGACTTACAAAGAAAGTAACTTGGAAATGACCAATCCACTTTTTGTTATTTGTTTTGCTTTCTTCAGCCCTTTTACTGTCTATAAAACCAACATCCTCTGCTTGAGCCATGGGAACAATTATTCTAGCTTATGGAATAAATGTTACCCAATTCTAGAATCTTGATAAAGCCAACTGAGACCTTTAAACTAAATTTGTTGCAACATTTTTTTGATAATATGATATGTAGTTTTTTGTGTCTGACCTCTTAATGCTTTTGAGATTCATACATTTCTGTATATATTAATATTATGTCAGTTTTTATTGCTGAAAATATAATTCCATTGTATGAGTATACAACAGTTTCTTTATCCATGATGGACATTTGTGTTGTCCCCAGCTTTTGACTATTATTAATAAAGCTGCTGTAAACATTCCAGTACAAGTCTTTGTGTGGACATGTGTTTTCTTTTTCTCTTGAAAACAACACCTAAGAATAGAATTGTTGGAAAATATCAGTGCATGTTTAATTTTATTAGATATGCCAAGCTGCTTTTCAAAGAAGTCGAACAATTTTGCATTCCCATCAGCATGTATGAAAGTTCTAATTATGCCACAAGCTTGTCATCACTTGTATTATCAGACTTTTTCACTTTAATGATTCTAGTGATTGGGTAATGGTATCCCATTATAGTTTTCATTTGCATTTCCCTGCTGATTGGTGATATTGAACATCTTTTCTTATGCAACTCAATTTTACAATTTTCTTTGGCACTAAAATTATAATTTTATAATTTTCTTTTGCACTGAAAATTATGGTTTCTAACAGCTATTTGTTTGCATTACTGGATTTATTTCCCTATATCTTTTCCACTGCTATTAGTTGCTGGCTGTAAGATTCAATAATTCATGGGAAGCAGCAAAGTGAGACAGTGAGGCTTTTGGAGTCTGTATTGACCCTGTACCAACACCTTCAGGCTGAGTGATCTTGGACAAGTCCCTTAAGATCTCCAAGCCTCTGTCTCCTATTTTTTAAATGGAGATTGTTATCATCAATAATAATTGTTATTATTAACTACTGTTCATTAAACACCTTCTAAATTCTAGGCTTTATGCTAAGTGCATTACTTACATACTAAGTATGGTTATGTTATGTAAAGTACTTAGAACAGTGCATAGAACAGAGTGAGCACTATATTTGTATTATATTTTAAAATTTTTTTTTTGTGGTAAAATAGTCACAACATAAAATCTACCATTTTGACCATTTTTAAGTGTACAGTTCAGTAGCATTAATTACCCTCACCTTGTTGTGCAACCATCACCACCATTCATCTCCTGAACTTTAATCATCCATACTAAAACCCTGTACCCATGAAACACTAATTCCTCTTTTCCCCTCCCTTCAGCTCCTGACAGCCACTGTTCTACTTTATTTATCTATAAATTTGACTATTCTAAATACCTCATATAAGTGTAATAATACATTATTTGTCCTTTCTGTCTGACTTATTTCACTTAGCATAGTATCTTCAAGGTTCATCTATGTTGTAGTATGTATCAGAAACTCATCCCTTTTTAAGGCTGCCTTACTTATTTTCTGCCTGGTTGTTTTATCCATTATCGAAAGTGGGTTACTAAATACTATGACTATTATTGTAGAACATTCTACTATCTTCAATTTTGTCAACTTTTCCTTCATATATTTTGAGGGTCTGTTATTAGGTGTATAAATGTAGTAATCATTATCATCATTGTTATTAATCTTGACGATTAATAATTTTTTTTGAGACGGAGTCTCGCTCTGCACCCAGGCTGGAGTACAGTGGCAGGATCTCAGCTCACTGCAACCTCCGCTTCCCGGGTTCAAGTGATTCTTCTGCCTCAGCCTCCCGAGTAGCTGGGACTACAGGCGCGTGCCACAATACCCAGCTAATTTTTGTATTTTTAGTAGAGACATGGTGTCACCGTATTGGCCAGGATGGTCTCAAACTCCTGACCTTGTGATCTGCCCACCTTGACCTCCCAAAGTGCTGGGATTATAGGCATGAGCCACCGTGCCCGGCCAAAGTAAGACCATTTTTATCCCCATTTTGTATATGAGGAAAATAATATACAGAGAAAAGAGGTATCTTACCTGAGGTCAACACTTATGATAATAATTTTTTTTTAAGAGATTAGGTCTTGCTATGTTGCCCAGGTTGGTTTCAAACTTCTGGCCTCCAGTGATCCGCTCACCTCACCTTCCCAATGTGCTGGGATTACAGGCATGAGCCACTATGCCTGGCTCATAATGATAATTTTTAAAAATGCATTTGTCACTATTGGAGATAGCTATTGTGTCCATTCTTAACTCTGAATTTGGCAATTAATGGAAATTATTAAGCATTGATCCTGACTTTCCTATTCAAACTGCATGTCAAATTATATATAACCATAAAGCCTTGGCTGATGAGGAAATATTTATTTCTTACAAAAGAATTCCAGCTAGAAAGTGTTGATGAAATTAGAAAAACACTTTTTTGTAACCCCTCATGGAATAATATTCTAGGTAATAATGAATGGATACAAAATACATTTGATGAAAGTTCAGTGGATATGTTTCCTATTGCTATTGCAACAAATTACCAGAAAGTAAGTGGCTTAAAACAATAATAAAGTAAGTGTATTATCTTATAGTTCTGAAGGTTAGAAGTCTAAAATGCATTTCAATGAGCTGAAATCAAGGTTCACACAGGCTGTGTTCCTAATGCAGGCCTGTCCTAGTCTGTTTTATGCTGTTATAACAGAATACCACAGATTGGCTAATTTATAACGAATAAAAATTTATTGACTCACAGTTCTGGAGGCTGGGAAGTCCAATATCAAGGTGCCAGTACCTGGTAAGGGCCTTCTTGCTGCATCATGGCATGGCAGAAGGCATCACATGGTGGAAGGGCAAAGAGAGGCAGAAGAGGGCCAAACTTGCCCTTTTATAATGGCATTAATCTCACCCATTAGGGCAGAGTCCTCATGGTCTAATCACCCCTTAAAGGTGATTTAATTACAATGGCAATTAAATTTCAACATGAGTCTTGGGGAAGATAAAGATTCAAACCATAGTCAGGCCCTAGGAAAGAATCAAATTATTTGCCTTTTCCAGGTTCTAGAAGCTGCCTGCATTCCTTGGCTAGTTGCCCCTTCCTCTTTCTTCAACACCAGCAGTGGAACAGCTTCAAACCTCTCTCTGACTCTGACCCGCTCTAAGCCTCCCTTTTCCACTTTAAAGGACCTTGTGATTAATTGGGTTCACCTGCGTTATCCATGATACGCCCATGATAATCCTTTTAAGGTCAGCTGATTAGGAACTTTAATTCCATCTGCAACCTTTATTTTCTATTGCCATGTAACAACATATTCACAGGTTCTGGAGATTAGGGCATAACCATATCTAGGAGAGGGCATTATTTTGTCTGCCACAATGGGGAACTGGAGACTTATGAGGTGTCAAGTTACCAACTCACAGATTAGAGGTTGGTTATAAGGTGGAAAACACACTTTAACAATGAAGGAGTCAGACTATCCCCACCTGAACCCACTGGTAGATCTTAACATCTCTAGAGGTGGAACCATCAAACATGGCATGCATTCTAATGTTATGTAATATAAATAACATTGCCCATGAAATAGTCTTACCAAGAAAGCTTTATTTTACTTTAAGCAACCTTTTGGGTCTTTCAGTTTACCAGAAATACAGGGAAGAGTAGAAAAAGTTAAATGATACCATGAAGAAACAATCAGACAAATCCTGAAGATGGGTCATTCTAGTGGAAAGCTGCCTCTATGTCCTTCGTAAATCACTGGCATTTAAAAAAAAACAGTTGAGGGTCTGGCGCGGTGGCTCACACCTGTAATCCCAGCACTTTGGAAGGCCAAGGCGGGCAAATCACGAGGACAGGAGATCGAGACCATCCTGGCTAACACGGTGAAACCCCATCTCTGTTAAAAATACAAAAAATTAGCCAGACATGGTGGCGGCCGCCTGTAGTCCCAGTTACTCGGGAGGCTGAGGCAGGAGAATGGCGTGAACCCAGGAGGCGGAGCTTGCAGTGAGCCGAGATCGCGCCACTGCACTCCAGCCTGGGTGACAGAGCAAGACTCCATCTCAAAAACAAAACAAAACAAAGAAAAGTTGGGGACTGTTCTGGGTTAAATGATACTGGTTCCTCCAGGAGCAGACCCTGATACATGGATCCAAGTTTATTTGGGAGGTACTAGAGATACCAGTAGAGAAGTCAGGCAGTGAAACAGAAAAAGAAGAGAGTCCATGATGGGTTTGTTGTTGAGCTGGCCACCACAATGAGCAGCCGGACCTCAATCCCAGGAGAAACTCACAGTGACACAAAACACCAGATTCACAAAGGGCAAGGCAGCTGAAGTATTTATACACTGACTCACAAAAGTAATTTGTAGAGAACTGGTCCTTGGGTGTGTTAATTTGGCACTTTGGGCCTGTGGTAAACAGGGAAAGCTGTCTTTTACCTGTGGTGGGCCTCAAATATTTCACACCTGTGGGGCATTGCAATTTAAGTCCCTTTCTCTATATGAAAAATTAGGTTCATAAATTATTATGAAATGAAAGTAGTGGGAAAAATTACATAGAAAAGAAATGCAGACAGTGACAGTTCTTTTGTTGAAATCTGTATGTATAAGTATGACATAAAATAATATTAAATAAAAATTACAGGATAAAAAGGAAAACATAAAAACTTTAAAGATAATTAAAACCTTACATTAAAGTCTTATATTTCAATTTTTTTTTCTTTAAAATGAGTGAGTTTTGTACAGGGGGGTTAAATGCTTTTTAGACAAGAAAAAAAAACTGCACTAGAATCAACTTATTCATCATCATTTTCTTCACCTTCATCTTCCTCCTCCTCCTGATCCTCTTCATCTTCCTCCCCTTCCTTCTTCTTCTTGCTTTTTTCAGCCTTGATGACTCCCTTTTTTGCTGCATCAGGCTTTCCTTTAGTTCAATATGCAGCAAGATCCTTTTTGTATTTTTCCTTCAGCTTCACAGCTGTCTTTTCATAAGGCTGCTTGTCATCTGCAGCAGTGCTATTCCACATGTCTCCCAGTTTCTTTGCAACATCACCAATGGACAGGCCAAGATGTTCTTTGATTTGGGGCAACACTCAGAACAGAACACGAAACAGGCTGCAGGAGGCCACTTGGGTGCATTGGACTTGAACTTCTTTTTTGTCTCCCCTTTAGGGGGGATATAGATTTTCATTTCTCTTTCATAACGGGCCTTGTTTGCCTTTGCCATATCTTCAGATTTTCCTTTCTGTTTAGCAGATATGGTCTTCCACCTCACTGAGCACTTTTTTTTTTCTTTTTCTGAAACAGAGTCTCTCTGTCGCCCAGGGTGGAGTCCAGTGGTGAGGTCTTGGCTCACTGCAGCCTCCGCCTCCCGGGTTCAAGCGATTCTCTTGCCTCAGCCTCCCAAGGAGCTGGGATTACAGGCACCCGCCACCACATCTGGCTAATATTTGGATTTTTAGAAGAGACGGGGTTTCACTATGTTGACCAGGCTAGTCGTGAACTCCTGACATCAAGTGATCTGCCTGCCTCGGCCTCCCAAAGTGCTGAGATTACAGGCATGAGCCACCGCACCTGGCCTCTCTCTGAGCACTTCTTAGAAAACTCTGAGAAGTTGACTGAAGCTTCTTATGCTCCTTCTGACAAGTTTTCACAAGAAATGCATATGATAACATTTTGCCTCTTGGCTTCTTAGGATCTCCTTTGCCCATGTTTAGTTATTTTTTTCCTCAGTGAGGCACAGAGTCACCCAGTGCTCATCCGGCTCCCACTTGCCCTGGCGCTGTCTCTATGGAGCTCAATGTACTGTAACAGCTGTCAGAGCAGGCCTCCTCACTCTCTCCACTCTGTGAAAAGTTTCTTTTACATGAAGCAACCCATATATAAATGGTTTGTCAAAAATTCCTAAAAACCAATTTCACAAGTTCCAAAAATGATAATACTGTACATTACTTTGTTTTAGAGGGATGAATTCTAGTGGATTTCAATGGTCTCCAGAATTGAAAATTTCCACTAGAGAATTTTCACAATTCAACACAAAAACAAAAAAACAAACTCCCCCGTTTTATTTTGAAAATCCGATAATATTGCAGAGTGATAGCAAATATTGGCATTATTTGAGTCATTGCTTTAAAATGAGTATATAGCTCTTGGTAGAAATGATCAAGTCATTCAAGCATAGTCTTTTTATTTATTCTGGCATCTTTTGTCATTTCTCCTGGAATTCTTCTTCAAAGTTTGATTCTTTTTTTCCTTGTAAATATCCATTCTTTTTGTGTGGCATAGCCGAAAGTCTTCTCCACATTTTTTATGTGCCAGTGTTCAAGACTGAGATTTACTATACATTACTCAAGGCTGATTCTGGCTCTTCACAAAAATTTTTGTCTTATTTTAATAAATGGCCACAACCACCTCAACTTTCAGCAATCACCAACCTGATAAGTCAGCAGCCATCAACACTGAAGCAAGACCCTCCACTAGCAAAAAAATTGTGACTTGCTGAAGCCTTAGCTGATCACCAGCATTTTTTAGCAATAAAGTATTTTCAATTAAGGTATGTACATTGTTTCTTTAGATATAATGCTAGTGCACATTTAATAGACTATGATATAGTATAAACATAACTTTTATACACACCGAGAAACCAAAATTTGTGTGACTTGCTTTATTATGATATTCACTTTATTGCAGTCATCTGAAACTGGAAGGTATGACTGTATCTCGAAAGTCAACATTAACCTAACATCACAACTAAAAGAACTAGACAGACAAGAGCAAACAAATCCCAAAGCTGGCAGAAGACAGGAAATAACCAAAATCAGGGCTGAAATGAAAGAAATTGAGACACAAGAAATCATTCAAAAGATCAACAAACCCCGGAGCCAGTCTTTCGAAAAAAATTAATAAAATAGACCACTAGCTAGACTAATAAAGAAGAAAGAGAGAAGATTCAAATAAACACAATCAGAAACAACAAAGGGGATTAACACTGACCCTATAGAAATACAAACAACTGTCAGGATAGTACAAATATCTCTATGCACATAACCTAGAAAATCTAGAAGAAATTGATAAATTCCTGGACACATATACTCTCCCAAGACTGAAGCAGGAAGAAAATGAATCCCTGCACAGACCAATTAACAAGCTCTGAAATTGTCAGTAATAGCTTACCAACCAAAAAAAGCCCAAGACCAGATGGATTCACAGCCGAATGCTATCTCATGTACAAAGAAGAGCTGGTACCATTCCTGCTAAAACTATCACAAAAAATTGAGGAGGAGAGAATCCTCCCTAACTCATGCTATGAGCTCAGCATCATCCTGATACTAAAATCTGGTAGAGACATAAAAACAAAAAAGAAAACAAAACAAAACAAAAAACCCACTTTAGGCCAATAATATCCTTGGTGAACATTGATGCAAAAATCCTCAACAAAATACTGGCAAACTGAATCCAACAGCACATCAAAAAGCTTATCTGCCACAATCAAGTAGGCTTCATCTCTGGGATGCAAGTTTGGTTCAACATATGCAAATCAATAAATGTGATTTATCACATAAATACAACTAAAGACAAAAACCACATGATTATCTCAATAGATGCAGAAAATGCTTTCAATAAAATTCAACACTCCTTCATGTTAAAAACTCTCAATAAACTAGATATTGAAGGAATCTATCTCAAAATAATGAGAGCCATCTATCACAAACCCACAGCCAACATCATACTGAATGGGCAAAAGCTGGAAGCATTCCCCTTGAAAATCAGCACAAGACAAGGATGCCCTCTCTCACCACTCCTATTCAACATAGTATTGGAAGTCCTGGGCAGGGCAATTAGACAAGAGAAAGAAATAAAGGGCATCCAAATAAGAAGAGAAGAAGTCAAACTATCCCTGTTTGCAGATGACATAATCCTATATCTAGAAAACCCCACAGTCTCAGTCCAAAAGCTCCTTAAGCTGATAAACAACTTCAGCAAAGTCTCACAATACAAAATCAATGTGCAAAAATCACTAACATTCCTGTACACCAACAACAGCCAAACCAAGAGCCAAATCAGGAACACAATCCCATTCACAATTGCCACAAAAAATTATAAAATACCTAGGAATACAGCTAACCAGGGAGGTGAACAATCTTTACAGTGAGAACTATAAAACACTGCTCAAAAAAATTAGAGATGACAAAAACAAACGGGAAAACATTCCATGCTCACGAATAGAAAGAATAAATATCATTAAAATGGCCATACTGCTCAAAGCAACTCATAGATTCAATGCTATTCTTATTAAACTATCATTGATATTTTTTGCAGAACTAGAAAAAAACTATTTTAAAATTCATATGGAACCAAAAAAAAAAAAAAAGCCTGAAGAGCTAAGGCAATCCAACTCCACTCAAAGTATACTACAGGGCTACAGTAATCAAAACAGCACAGCACTGGTACAAAAACAGACACATAGAGTAATGGAACAGAACAGAAAGCCCAGAAATAAGGCCACACAGCTACAAGTATCTGATCTTCAACAAAGCTGACAAAAATAAGCAATGGGGAAAGGATTCTCT
The DNA here is from genome assembly GCF_000001405.40 of Homo sapiens. Classification (NCBI taxonomy): domain Eukaryota; kingdom Metazoa; phylum Chordata; class Mammalia; order Primates; family Hominidae; genus Homo; species Homo sapiens. The sequence continues at coordinate 50,402,633 of NC_000001.11, forward strand.
GTTCAATGAATGGTGCTGGGATAACTGTCTGCCCATATGCAGAAGATTGAGATTGGACCCCTTCCTTATACCATACGCAAAAATTAACTCAAGATGAATTAAAGACTTAAATTGAAAACCTAAAACTACAAAATCCCTGGAAGAAAACCTAGGTAATACAATTCTGGACTTAGATTTCATGATGAAGACACCAAAAGCAATGGCAACAAAAGCAAAAATTGGCAAATGGGATCTATTTATACTAACAAGCTTCTGGACAGCAAAGGAAACTATCAACAGAGTGAACAGACAACCTATAAAATGGGAGAAAATTTTTGCAAGCTATGCATCTGACAAAGGTCTAATATCCACAATAATGCAATCCACAATAATGCTATCCACAATAGCATCTATCAGGAACTTAAACAAATTTACAACAAACAACCCCATTAAAGTGGGCAAATGACATGAACGCTTTTCAAAAGAAGACATACATGTGGCCAACAATCATATGAAAAAAAGCTCAACATCACTGATCATTAGAGAAATGCAAATCAAAACTACAGTGACATACCATCTCACGCCAGTCAGAATAGCTAGTATTAAAAAGTCAAAAAACAACAGATGCTGGCATGGTTGTGGAGAAAAGGGAACAAATTTACATATTGGTGGGAGTGTAAATTAGTTCATTGTGGAAGACAGTGTAGCAATTTCTCAAAGACCTAAAGACAGAAATACCATTCGACCCAGCAATCCCATTACTGGGTATATACCCAAAAGAATATAAGTCATTCTATCATAAAGACATGCATGCATGCCTAGGTTCATTGCAACACTATTCACAATAGCAAATACATGGAATCAACCTAAATGCCCATCAACAGAAGACTGGGCAAAGAAAATGTGGTACATATAAGCCATGGAATACTATGCAGTCATAAAAAGAGTGAAATCATGTCCTTTGCAGGAACATAGATGGAGCTGGAGGCCATTATCCTTAGCAAACTAACTCAGAAACAGAAAACCAAATACCGCATGTTCTCACTTGTAAGTAGGAGCTAAATGATGAGACCACATGGACACAAAGAGGGAAACAACAGACACTGGGGCTTACCAGAGGGTGGAGGTTGGGAGGAGGGAGAGGAGCAGAAAAAATAACTATTGGGTAGTAGGCTGAGTACCTGGGTGATGAAATAATCTGTACATCAAACCCCTGTGCCGTGAGTTTACCTATATAAAAACCTGCACACCTGTATCCCTGAACTTAAAAGTTAAATAAAAAAATAAAAATAAATTGTCCTTACTGTGCACACAGCTTAATTTGCCTGGTATAATCTGTTTCAGTGTTATAACTACATTTGGCAGCATTTTTTATAGATGAGGAGAGATCAGAAAGAATGGATAGTTTTTTCTAAAAAGATGCAACAAAAATTTTTTATTGTAAATTGACAATTTATAATTGTATAAATTTATGGGTTACAAAGTGATGTCACAAATTGTGGATACAAGGTATAATAATTAAATCAAGCTAGTTAAAATACCCAATACTTCAAATACATTTCCTTTTTTTTTTTTTTTTTTTGAGATGGAGTTTTGCTCTTGTTGCCCAGGCTGGAGTGTAATGGTAAGATCTCAGCTCACCACAACCTCTGCCTCCCGGGTTCAAGCGATTTTCCCGCTTCAGCCTCCCAAGTAGCTGGGATTAGAGGCATGCGCCATCACGTCCAGCTAATTTTGTGTTTTTAGTAGAGACACGGTTCCTCCATGTTGGTCAGGCTGGTCTCGAACTCCTGACCTCAGGTGATCTCCTGCCTCGGCCTCCCAAAGTGCTGGGATTACAGGCATGAGCCACCACAGTTCAAATACATTTCTGTGATGAGAACATTCATTTTGAAATGTATAATACTCCACTATTAAGTGTATGCACCACTCAAAAAAAGTATAACAGAAGTGTACAATAGAACTCAAAAAGAGTATAAAACATATTTTTCCTGTCTGAGATTTTGCACCCTTTGACCATCATTAAATTTTTTTTTTTTTTTGGAGATATTCTCACTCTTTCACCCAGGCTGGAATGCAATGGCACAATCCCGGCCCACCACAACCTCTACTTCCTGGGTTCAAGTGACTCTTCTGCCTCAGCCTCCCCAGCAGCCGGGACCACAGGCACACGACACCACACCCGGCCAACTTTTTCTGTATTTTTAGTAGAGATGGGGTTTCACCACGTTGTCTAGGCTGGTCTCGAACTCCTGACCTCAGGTGGTCCGCCCACCTCGGCCTCCCAAAGTGCTGGTACCACAGGTACAAGCCACGGTGCCTGGCCTAAATTTTTATGAGGCAAAATATCAATTTCAAAACAGCATCAAAAAGTGAGCAGGCCAGGCATGGTGGCCATGCCTGCAATCCCCAGCACCCTAGGAGGCCAAGGCATATTTTTCTGTACTAAAAATACAAAAATATTTGTCTCTACTAAAAAATACCAAAAAAAGAAAAAAAAAAGCCCACTGGGCATGGTGGTGCATGCCTGCAATCCCAGCCACTTGGGAGGCTGAGGCAGGAGAACCGCCCGCACCTGGGAGGCAGAGGCTGCAGTGAGCCAAGATCACGCCACTGCACCCCAGCCTGGGCAACAAGAGCGAAACTTCATCTCAAAAAAAAAAAAAAAAAAAAAGAGTCAGCGTATTTAACCATCCCCATCTGATAATAGAGCAAATAGGTCAACAGAATAATAATTCATGCTATTGCATGAGTAATGAACTGGCAACAAGAGAAAGTTGGTGGAAGGAAAGGCAGAGGAAATGTGTCTTGTAAGAATTAGAATCAAGGGGCTCCATAATCATCGGACATCCATTCAATGTTGTATCTATGGTTAGAAATGTACATGATAGGAACTCCAGGAATCTTACAGATTCTTCTTTTAAGGTCCCAGTCAACTGTGGCAATAATGTAACACTTATGCTGAGTTATTTCTGTACTAAGCAGTCATCTGCATAGGTTCCTTGGTGTGCACATGGTAATAGTTCAAATCTTGGATCCTTGGTGATCCTTAGAGCCACTCTATACTTCTGCCCCAATTTCTCAATTTCAGCCATTACACAATCAGTTATACAAGGGATACACTTGGCATACAGACAGTCCATCATTGACTGCATTAAGTCCAGTTTGGCTTTTATGGAAAAGTTGATAAAGTTGGTATCAATGAGGATGTGGTAAGGTGGGCCGAGCTGTGTATTATATTGGAAAAATAAGTGGGAAGGGTGTTGGGGAACTTCCCTTTCCTTTAATGTGTTGGGATCCTTCTTTTCTTTCTTTTTAGGTTTTAATCTATCCTTTTCTTTAAGCCTCTGATCTCTGAGACTAAGGATTTGCTTCATGGTTGCGTACTTCCTTGTTCTATTTTGCTTCCCCACGGTCACATCACACTTCTGTTTCTTCTGTAATCACCAACTGAATGGATAATTTTTTTAACAAAGTTTGAACAAATGTCACACATTAAAAACACTTCTGAAAGTGTGAACACCATAAAGATTCAGAGAATGATTATAAAAGAGACAAGTAACGATTTGGGATTAATATCTCCCATTTTTACATGAACTGCACCATGCATACCAAACAAAAATATTGTGCCTCAGAATTCACACTTTGTTTTACTGTTTTAAATTTTTAACACAAATAAAATCTCTAAGAGGGCACATAAAGTAACAGATTTAAATAACTCAGGTTCTGATTCTTCACCTTCAAGTCACTAAACTATCATTTATTTCATATCTACCATTTAAATAGGAATATGTAGTACAACAGAGGTTGGAGAAACAAACTGCACACTGAGCAAGCGCCCACAGTTCCAAACCTTTACAAACTTACTCTTGAAATAAATGTGGCTTATATGCTGAGTCTACATGTGTTGGGACCAACTGTTTAACTGGGATTCCTCTGAATGAACTTCCATGTAGAATACAGTGCATAGTGAAGAATATGTAATTTAAAAGTGATCATTTGGTTCCGGTTCCAGTTAAGATGAAGTAAGCACATTTAGCCCTGTCTCTCACATTAAATGCAACAAAAAATCCTGGAAAGAATGCATGAAGCAGCGATCTGAGGACTCTGAAAAGTAAATAGTAACAAGAGGATTGGGAAAGGAAACCAAAACTTGAAGAATCATTGCTATAGTGGTGAGTTTTCTTGGTTTTTATTCCTCCAATATCTCCCAGCCTGGACTTAGAGGCAGCCTGAATCCCAGAACACCACACCCAGTACTAATACCATATTTAATGGGGAAAGACTGAATGTTTGCACTCCAAAATGGGACAAAGCAAGAATCTCTATTCTCATCACTCCTATTCAATACTGTAGTAAAACTATCCTTACTTACAGATGACAAGATTAACCATGTAGGAAATTCCAAGGAATATACAAGCAAAGCTCCTATAAATAATAAGTGAATGCAGCAAAGTTCTTGATACAATGTCAGCATTCAAATATGAAATGTTCATCTATATAATAGTAATGAACAATTGGAGACCAAATAGGTATAAATCTTAAAAAAAAAAAAAAAAAAAGAAAAGAAAGAAATAGGGGGGCCAGGCATGGTGGCTCATGCCTGTAATCCCAGCACTTTGGGAGGGAGGCCGAGGAGGGCAGATCAAATTGAGGTCAGTAGTTCAAGACCAACCTGGCCAATATGGTGAAAACTCATCTCTACTAAAAATACAAAAATTAGCCAGGCATGGTGGCACATGTCTCTAATCCCAGCTTCTTGGGAGGCTGAGGCAGGAGAATCACTTGAACCTAGGAGGTGGAGGTTGCAGTGAGCCGAGACTGTGCTACTGCACTCCAGCCTGGGTGACAGGGCAAGACTCTGTCTCAAAAAATAAAAATAAAAAAGCTAAAAGCAGGAGTGAAAGAAGGGACATTACTACTGACCTTACAGAAATAATAAGGAACAAATTCCTTATTATAGATATATGTTATAGATCTGAACAGGTCTATAACAAGAGATTGAATTAGTAATCAAAACCTACCCATAAAGAAAACCCCAGACCTAGATGGTTTTATTGGCGAATTCTGCCAAACACTTAAAGAATTAATACTAATTCTTCACAAACTTTTCCAAAAAATCAAAGAGGAGGGACCACTTCCCAACTCATTCTATGATACCAGATTATTTTGGTACTAAAACCAGACAAAGACATCACAAGAAAAGAAAACTATAGACCAGTATCTTTTATGAATATAGATTTAAAAATTCTCAGCAAAATACTAACAGGCTAAATTCAGCAACATACAAAAAGTATTATACACCATGAGCAAGTGGGATTTAACCCAAGATTATGAAGTTGCTTTAAAATTTGAAAACCAATTAATAGAATATACCATATCATGGCAGGGTGCAGTGGCTCATGCCTGTAATCCCAGTACTTTGGGAGGCTGAGGCAGGCAGATCACCTGAGGTCAGGAGTTTGAGATCACCTGGCCAACATGGTGAAACCCCATCTCTACTAAAAGTACAAAAATTAGGCAGGCATGCTGGCATGTGCCTGTAGTCCCAACTACTTGGGAGGCTGAGGCAGAATCATCACTGGAACCCAGGAGGTGGAGGTTGCAGTGAGCCGAGATCACATCACTTCACTCCAGCCTGGACAACAGAGCAAGACTCCATCGCAAAAAAAAAAAAAAAAAAAAAAAAAAAAAAAAAATATATATATATATATATATATATATATATACACCATATCAATAGAGTAAATGATAAAAACCATATGATTTTCTCAACTGATGCAGGAAAAAAACATTTTATAAAATATATAAAATTTAACACCTCATTATAATAAAAACATTCAGTAAACTAGAATAGAAGGAAACTTCTTCAACCTGATAAAGGACATCTACAAAAAATAACAACTAACATGATATTTAATGGGGAAAGATTAAATGATTTCACCTGAAGAACAAGAACAAAACAAGGATATCCAGTCTTGCTGCTTATATTCAACATTTTACTGAAGGTTCTAGCCAGGAAAATTAGGCAAGAAAATGAAATAAAAGGCATCCAGATTTTAAATGAATAAGTGAAACTACCTGTTTTCAAAAGACATAATCTTGTAAAAGGAATATCCTAAGGAACCCACTGAAAACAATTAGAACTAACAAATTAGTTTGGTAAGGTTGCAGGATACTAGGTCAATATTCATAAATCAATCATATTTCTATACATTTGTAAAGAACAATCCAAATATGAAATTAAGGAAACAATTCAATTTACAGCAATATCAAAAACAGTAAAATACTTAGGAATATATTTAGCAATAGAAATGCAAAATTTATACTCTGAGAACTACAAAGTATTGTTGAAAGAAATTAAAGAAGACCCTAATAAATAGAAAGACATCCCATGTTCCTGGATGAAAGACTTAATATTGTTAAGATGGTAATACTTCTCAAGTTGATCTACAAATTTAATGCTATTCACATCAGTTTCCAGCTAACTACTTTGTAGAAATTGACAGGCTGATTCTAAAATTTATATGGAAATTCAAGGGACACTGTGTAGTCAAAACAATCTTGGAAAAGAAGTTGGAAGACTCATACTTCCCAATTTCAAACTTACTACAAAGATACAGTAATTGATACAGTGTGGTACTGGTATAAAGATAGGTATATAAATCAATAGAATAAACTGAGAGTTCAGAAATAAGCCCTCACATTTATGGTTAATTGAGGGATTCTTTTCATTTAGGTTTTTTGTTTTCTTTCATTGTCAAAGCTCTTCTCAGGGTTAACTGAGTTTTGACAAGGGTCCCAAGACAATTCAATGGGGAAAGAATAATCTTTCTTTTTAAAATCTTTGTACTTTTAATTTTTGTGGGTACATATCAGGTATATATTTATTTGGTATGTGAGATATTTTGATACAGACATGCAATGTGTAATAATCACATCATGGGAAGTGGAGTATCTATCCCTTCAGGCATTTATCCTTTGAGGTATAGTCTTTTCAACAAATAATGCTGGGACCGTTGGATATTCACATGTAAAAGAATGAATTAAGATAATATCTCATACATATGCAAAAATTAACTAAAAATGAATTAAAAACTTACATATAAGAGCTAAAACTATAAAACTCTTTGAAGAAGAAAATCTAGATGTAAATCTTCATGACCTTGGTCTAGGTAGTGGCTTCTTAGATGTAATACAAAAAATACAAACTACAAAAGAAAAAAAAAACAGATGAACTGGACTTCATCAAAACTCAAAACTTTTGTGTTACAAAAGACACCACCAAGAAAGTGAAAAGACAAACCACAGAATGGAAGAAAATACTTGTAAGTCATCTAACTGATAAGAGGCTTGTATCTAGAAGATATAAATAAATTTTACGATTCAGTAGTAAAAAAAAAATACAATTTCAAAGTAGTCAAATGACTTGAATAGACATTTTTCCAAAGAAGATACACAAGTGGCCAGAAAACACATGAAAAGATGTTCAACATTATTAATTGTCAGGGAAATACAAATCAGAACCACAACGAGATGCCACTTCACACCCACTAGGATGGCTAGAATTAAAAAGATAGATAAAAATGTCCAGGCAAAGTAGCTCACACTTGTAAGGCCATCACTTTGGGAGGCTGAGGCAGGAGGATTGCTTGAGTCCAGCAGTTCAAGATGAGCTTGGGCAAATAAACATAAGGAGACCCCATGTCTACAAAAAATTTAAAAATTAGCTGGGCACGGTGGCATGCATTTGCAGTCCCAGCTACTCAGGAGGCTGATGTGAGAGGATCACTTGAGCCCAGAGGTCGAGGCTGCAGTGAGCTGTGACTGCACCACTGCACTCCAGCCTGGGCGACAGAGTGAGATCCTGTCTCGAAAAAAAAAAACAAAAACAGATAAAAACAGGTGTTGGTGAGGATGTGAAGAAACTGATACCATATTGCACTGCTTGTGGGAATGTAAAATGATGCAGCTGCTGTGTAAAAAAAAAATTTGGTAGTTCCTCCAAAGATTAACATAGAGAAAAATGACCCAGCAATTCCACTCCTAAGTATATACCAAGAGAATGAACACATATAGCAGAAGTATTCATAATAGCCAAAAAGTGGAAACAACCCAAATGTCCATCAACTGATGAATGGATAAATTATATATATATATATATATGAATATATATAGGAATATTATTTGGCTATGAAAAGGAATGATGAACCGATGCATGATACAACAGGGATGAACCTTGAAAACATTTATGCTAAGTGAAAGAAGCCAGTCACAAAAGGCCATAAATTGTATAATTCTATTTATATGAATTGTCCAGACTAAACAAATTTATAGAGACAGAAAGTAGATTCGATGCAGAAACTCCTCTAGGATTGGGGAGGTATTTACCTGGAGAAGCGAAAACTTGTGATCACACAAAAGCCTGTTTGTGAACGTTTATAGCAACCTCATTTGTAATTACCAAAAACTGAAACAACCCAAATGTCCTGTAACTGTGAATGAATAAACAAATAGTGATAGATCAATACAACTGAATATTATTCAGCAATAAAAAGGAATGGACTATTGACACGTGCAATAATTTGGATGGATCGCAAAGGGATTATGCTAAGTGAAAGAAGCCAGTCTCAAAAGGCTACATACTGTCTGGTTTCATTTGTATAACATTCTGGAAAAGAAGAAACTGTAAAGACAGAGAAACAGGGAACAGATCAGTGGTTTCCAGAGATTAGGGGTAGGGGGGAGGATTTGATTATAAAGGGGCAGCACAGGGAAGCTTTCTGGGGTGACAGAGCTGTTCTGAATCCTGATTGTGATGGTGGTTAGATAAATATATACATACGGTCAACCTTTTAGAAATGTACTATGAAAAAGTCAATTTTACTGTACGTAAACAAAAAATAATAGTTGTGACAATTTGTGATATATATAAATAAAGAAATATGTATAGTGTGTGTGTTTGTGTGTATACACACACACATAATTTAAACTCAACAATCACTGCAGGGCCTGTTTAGACCAACAAAAGTTCTTTGAGGTGAGAAATATTTTATCTCTGACATTGTTCAGAATTGCTGGGAAATGGTAATAACTTAAAAAGCAGACCAACTTTTAGTATTATTATTGTTTTAAATATTCTACAAACAACGAGCCTTCTTATTGCCTTCTCTAGGAAGGATGGGTCCCATCATTACAACCCTGGTATGTCTCCCTTTTGTGGTTCTAGAATAGAAGCCCTTTGGCACAGAGAAACTGATCTTGGAAGTTGGAAATCAGTAGACTGAAAGGTCAAGGGCTACGGGTGGGGCTCTGACAGTGTCTGCTATAGGCAACCAAATCCTGGTTTGAACAAATCAATTGTTAAATTTAAAAAAATTTCCAACTGGGGCAATTAGATAAATGTTAATATATATTGAATATTAGGTTATATAAAGGGATTATTTTTAATATTGATAGTATACTAATGTACTGTGGCTTTGTAAGAAAATATCCTCACGTTTTAGTGATGAGGTATTCACATTGAGGTATTTCAGAGTGACATTTCACAATGTCTGTAATTTGCTTTTAAATACATCAAAGGAAAACTAAGGTGAAATAAATATGACAAAATGTTAAATAGTTATTAAAGTTATGAGATTAGTATACAAATATTCAGATTTATTATACTATTCTCTACTTTCTTATACACTTGAAATTTTTCATAGTAAAAAGTTTTTAAAATAAAAAACACACTGGAAAAGCATTTCTTAGTGCCAAAGCCAGTGAACCCTCACTCTAATAAGATCCCACGACTCTGTTATGGCACATCACAAGACGCTGAATCAAAGAACACCTGGAGCATCTCAGTAGCCTTCGGAAAAGAACATGGAAAAGCAAGTAACATCCTTCTAAAGCTCTTACCCTAAAATGCTAAGACAAAGACAATTTAGGGCTGAAATGGGCAAACATTCAGCTATCCTGAAAGCTTGATTTTCCAGTAGGTCCCATTCCCTATTGGTTCTGGGATGGAAAGATGACAAAAGTCTAGTCAATGAGTCTACTACAAAAGAGAAAGTAGAATGCAAGCCTGAGGTCACCAATGGCCATTTGCACTTCATTTGGAGAAAGTCTGCCTGATATGAAGACAACTTAGAGTACAGCTGATCTAAGAGATGGAGAAAAGCAGCTCAGTTGATGGTGTTTGAGCACCTGGTTCCGACTTTTCCAGAGATAAACTCTGGAAATTTCAGTTGTAAATGTCTATAATTATTATTGTCATTACCATGAAGAAGAAAAAAAGGAGAAAATTCCTTCTTTTTAAGTCAGTGTGACTTGAGAGTCAATAACTTGCAAATAATACACTCTTGTCACATTCTCTGACCTATGAGGTTAGGTCATAAAAGGCCCTGTAGCTTCCACTTTGCTCTCTGGAACATCTGCCTTGGAACCCTGAGTCAACATGTAAAAAGTCTGATATCTTGAGGATACCATGATGGAAGTGCTCCAATCAACTGTCCAGCTGAGCCCAGCCTTCCAGCCATCCATACCAAGGAATCACAGATGTGACTGAACCTGTCTTGGGGTCTCCAGACCAACACATCTACCAGCTGAATACCACCAAGAGATCTTGGTCAACAATAAAAAAAGCTCTGCCCAAATTTCTGACCCATAAATGATGCAATAAAATGGTTATTGTTTAAACCACTACATTTCAGGGTCATTTGTTATGCAACAATAGTTAACAGGAACAGGCAGCCATGAGGGTGCAGCTAAACTGGGCAGTGGCAGATGCAGTTTTTTTGTTTTTTGTTTGTTTTTTGTTTTTGAGACAGAGTCTCGCTCTGTTGTCCAGGCTGGAGTACAGTGATCTCTGCTCACTGCAAGCCCCGCCTCCTGGGTTCACGCCATTCTTCTGCCTCAGCCTCCCAAGTAGCTTGGACTACAGGTGCCTGCCACCATGCCCGGCTAATTTTTTGTATTTTTAGTAGAGATGAGGTTTCACTGTGTTAGCCTGGATGGTCTTGATCTCCTGACCTCGTGATCCGCCTGCCTCAGCCTCCCAAAGTGTTGGGATTACAGGCGTGAGCCACCATGCCCAGCGGGCAGTTGCAGTTTTTAATGGGGCCTGAAGTTTTAAGATAGAAGTCGCTTGACTGTATGCACAAAGTGCAAGACCTTGAGAGGAACATGCCAGGTGTGGAGCCCTGAAGTTTAAGCTTCATTGGTTCACAGTGAGTCTACCTGTGAAACTGGACCCTAGGGAAGGTGAGGAGAGTCCTTAAAGAAGAGAAAAACGAGAAGAGCTTTCCAGGCAGAGGTGACCTTCATGGAAGAGGCATGGTCTGTTATGTTAAGAGGCCAGTCCTCTTGGCACCAAGAGACATGGTGAGAGGGTCTCAACACCTCTCCCAGGCCCATGGGCTCCACTAAGGGAGTCCTGTGTCCTCAGGGGACAGGGAGCTGGGCCACCTCATTCCTCCAAGATAACAGCTGACTCTTTCTACCATTTGGTGTCCATGCTGAGAAGACCTACATGTCCCTCAAACTCTGAAGTTGAACACGAAGCTTCTTCTCCCCGCCATCAAATCTTGTCTCTGCTCCAGGTGGAAATCAGCCCTCTTCCTTACTTACTCCCAACACTGGATCAACAGTGGGTAGTTTGGCTCCTAGCAGTTCTTGAAGGGGCCCTCTTTTCTCCCTCTCCCTACTTCCACTGATCCCTTTTTGGCACAACCATTTGTCACGGCTCCTGAGGGAGAGGTTGGGCCTGTCTCCAAATAATCTACCAAATCCAGATGCAAATCTTACCAGGTCCCGTTGTCAACAGCTCTCAGTACTGAAGTCCAGGCCCAGTTTCTGGCACTCAAGTTTCTCCATGACCTAACGTCTGACTCTGTGCAACCTCAACAGCCTGTCTCCACCTCCTCCCTTTCCATCTGCTAGTCCAGCGGGACCCCTGACTGCCTCCCCAATGTCCTACAACAGATCACAATGCTGCCCCTCACCAACCTCCTCAGGACTCAGCTCACTTCCTCTGAGGCATTTACAGAACCACGCTCTCCCATCTGTCTGTGTGGCCCCTTGCCTTAGGCGGGGTGTCTCCCATAATCTGTGACACTTTAGAGGGCTCAGAAGCCCCATTTGCTCCAGTCACTGGATCCCTCTGAGCTGTTGACTTCTTTGTTAAATGGGGCCACACCATCCACACCAAAGGATATGAGAATTGTAATAGTGAACACCTAGTGAGCAAGCACTGAGCTGAGAGCTTTTGGATATTATTTCATTTACTCCTCACAGCATCCAGAGAGACAGACCCCACTATTCCACCATTTAATTGAGGCAGAGTGCCTTGCGGAAGTGGCCTTCCCCGGCCAGATCTCCCTTGTGTGCACTTGTGTATCCCAGGGTCCTAGAACTGGGCCTGACATACATTAAGTACTTAGCAAATATTTGCTGACTGAAGTAATTCAAGAAAGAATAACCCCAGCCAGCGATTGAGCCTGGACCCCGGCTCTAGGCTCTTCCTGGCCCACCGAGCAGGATTCTGCTGGGGAACATGGTTGGTACAGGACTTGGCATACAGAAGGTGCTAGTGTGTCGCTGCTGCTGCTGTTGTGCAGGAGGGGTGGGGCGGGGAAGCTCCCCACCAGTCGGAGCTACCCGCGGCGGCCCGGGTTCGCATCCTCCCACTGCTCAGACCGAGTCGGCTCCAGCTTGCTTTGGGAAGCATTCAGGAATAAACGTGGACAGTAGCGGTCAGGAAGGAGATTCCCGTTTCCCCTTCTCCCAGGAGGAAAAGAGGTAACGCTGCCGCCACTGCCCTCTCTTTCCAGGGTGGGAACGCCGCCCGAGACCGGGGTACCCCACACTCCTCCCTAGCGCTGATCCCAGCGGAGCTCAGGCCGCAGTCCCCTCCTGCCGGCTGCGGAAGCTCCCAGAAGCGGAGACTCAATCGCCCCCCTGCCCCTGCTACCAGGCCAGAGTCTGGAGTACAGATACTGGCTCCCTGGGGCCTGGGTGTGCGACCCCAGGCCGGTCATTGCAGGTCTCTGCGCCTCCCTGTTCCTGACTGTGCAATGGGCAGCGGGTCAGGGGCGCACCGTGGGCGCAGTACGTTCCCAGGCGCCAAGGGCTGTGACTGACCGACCTGGGCTTCCACCGCGGGGCCTGGGCCATGGAGACGCTCCGGGCCCAGGAACGGGGGACCTCGGGTGCCCCACTACCTCACTCCTAGAACGCCCACCGCTCACGAAGCCTTCCTGAGCTCTACCCGAAGGTGCTGACAGCCTGGAGCTGAGGCCAAGGCGCTTGGGGGCACGCTGCTTCTCCCTGGGCCTCCTATGTTCACGGAAGGAGAGTTTCCGCAAACCTCTCACTCTCGGCCAGCAGACCCCGCTTCATGAGAGGAGGAGACCCACTAGGGGCGGTGGAGAGGCGAAGTGATCCAGGGTCCCGGAAAGTTGGACAATTCCCTGGACCAGATGGCTCTCAGTTTCCTCCTCTGTAAAATGGGGCCGGTAATAAGCAACTCTCTGGATTCACCCCGGTTTGCTGCGAGGATGAACTAATATAATAGTCTTTAAGTCTGTGACGCTCCAGATGTTCTTGGGAATGAGTAACGCGGGTCCACAGGCCGCCCCCTCGGGTCCGGCCAGAGCATCGGCAGGAACCGAGGAGCCTCGGGGGACCCAGCGTAGGTCCTTCCCGAAACCAACACCTTGGGTGCGGTGGGGCAGAGGACGGGGATGAGGCGGCCGGAACCGCCCTACGAGGAGAGGCTGGGAGGCTCCGAAAACCTGGGGTAGGGGGAGCGCACCGGGGCTTTAGAGGGCGCAGCGGCCAAGGGCAAGAAAGTTTACACTCCCAGAAGCTTCCGCACGCTTTCTCCCGCCTGCCTCTTTTCTTTCTAACTCTTCCCTCTCCTGTCTCCTCTCGCCCTCTTTTTTCTCCTTTTTTATCCCCTTTTCGTCCATCGCTCTTGCCGGCATCTTTCTTCTCTGGGTCCTTCTCCCCCACTTTCATCTCATCGCGCTCGCACTTCATCACCAGACAGCCAAACCCCCTTTCCAATTAAAGTGGAATTAGGCAACTCAATCAAATTAGTTCCCCATTAAAGCCCTTCTTTATTAAACCGTTTTCTTGTCCTGCTATTAAGTTTCACTGCCTGGCGGAACTCGAGCCGGCCCCAGAAGTTTACCTTGGGATGTCGCCGGACCCAGCCGAGGGGAGGAGTCATTCTTTTCCTGGAGCGGGGGAGTCACCCTGCGGGGAGCGGGAGGGACTGGAGGTTGAAGGAGAGGGTCGGCCCAGGAGCGGCTAATTTGCTCAGCTCGGCGTGAGGAGGGAAGGTGAAAAGGGTGAGAGACGAGGTCTGGCTCGAAGTCGCGTGCTCACGGCCCCTCTCCCAAATTACACTTTTTCAAGGAAGGCAGCATGCCACCCCCAACTCCCCAGAACCCCATAACTCCCAGGCTGTAGCCCTTGTCAGAAGAATGGTAGCAGCCACCCTGCCCAGCCGTCGCCTTCGTTGCCTGTGGTTCCAAATCTGAGATGGGGAGCGCGCAGTGTGTACATCCAAATCTACACCTCGGAAAGAGCAGGGACTGGGCCCCCAGCCTTGCAAGATCCCTGTGAAGACTGGGGCCGACGATCCAAAAACTAAGAGCCGGGGCAAGGTGACCCCTCCGCAAGGGTGCCCAAGCTGGGGTACACACTGTGTTCCCTCTGCTCAGCGGTCGCGGGTCCTTCGGGAGTTGTGAGCCCCGCGCCACTCTGGTGGGATAGGTCTTCCGAGTACCACAGGAAGTCTCCTCTCCCAGTAGCCCCGAGGGTCGGAGATCCCACGGGACCTCGGACAAGCGTCTCCTTAGCGCCGCGGCCTGAGTGGGAAATCACGACCTTCCCCAGCGCCCCACCCCCACCCCCTATTTCTCGAGGAGCGGGACGGGATTCGGCATTGTTTTCTTAGAAAATAACATTTATTTCTAGCTCATATCTATGCAAAGGAAAGCACAAAGTGCTGCTCTGCAGCAGCGTTTTCCGCTGCGGGCCCTTCAGTCAGGGCGTTTGGCGAGTCCCGGGAGGCGAGGATGGGCCCGCGAGCGGGCGGTTCTGGCTCAGTCACACGTCGCTCTGTTCCTGCTTCAGTGCGCACCTTGACGGCTCCTTAGGGACAGACCAGCCGCAGGCAAGAGGGGCAGGTGGGCAGGATTCATCCCGAGTTTCCAATATATTTAATCTCTAAACCTGATAAGTACAATGCGCGCATAGTCTAATTTTTTTCCATTTTGTCCCTTTTTTTGCTTGTTTTGAATGTTTTTCACGTTAATACCGAGGTCACCTACAGATTACAATTAATAACTTAGAATTCCATTTTATAACATTATACACTGGCTTGTATATATATATGTATAGATTATATATAGATTTATACATATATAAAAACACACTGCACCAAGGAAACCCATGCTTATCGGCATAAGCAACAAAGAGAGCGACAAATACCGCAACGAGGAAAGTGCACCTTAAAACTTGTTTCCTTTTTTTTTTTTTACAATTGTATCGATATATATGTGTGTCCCAAAGACTCAGTGCCAAGAGATTTATACATCCTAAATTTATATTTGTTAGAGCGAATATTTAAATTTTTTAAAAGTGAGGGCTGGGGAGACACAGAAAAGACTCTCGGATTATCCTGCCATCCACTGAGAGCCGGATGAGCACAGCTAAGGAGCCGCAGGAGCCTGCGCTGCTGTCGCAGCCTCTGAATTCTCATGAATTCCCAGCCTTTTGGAAAGGGGGCCGGGTGAGGCTGGAAGAGGGATCCGGAGGTAGGAGATGAGGACCCAGGCCGCGCACCCCCTCCGAGAACACCTGCACCTGTCTGTAGCTGCTCCCCCTTTGCTCAGCCTTCCCCACCCACCCTCCTAAACAAAACCCAAAAACCACCTTAGAGTGAGAAGACGCCCAGCCAGGGCGCAGAGAGAGCGCTGGGCGAAGAGGGGTCGATGGCCCGCGGGAACAGGGCTGGGGTTCCTGTTTGGGGACCGGCCGGCTGCCAGGCCCCTCGCCCTACTGCTTCTCCGGAGCGCCGTTGACCATAGGCCCGTACAGGCCGCCGCCGTAGGTCGGCTCCTTGTGCACCGCCGCAGCAGCGGCGGCCGAGCGGTCACGCATGAGATCGCTAAAGGCGTAGTCCATGGGTGGGCGGAAGCCGAGCGTGGGCACCAAGCCGGCAGTGGAGTAGGGCGCCATGAAGGCCAGACCGCGGCTGTGCGCCGCCGCCGCGGAGTAGGCCAGGCGCAGGGGGCTGAGGCCGAGCGGCGCGCCCAGCGGGTAGGCGCCCGCGTCGGCACCGAAGTGACTGGCGTTGGGCTGCAGCGGCGAGAAGGCCGAGCGGCTGCTCAGCGAGCCCAGCGCCCCAGGCGCCATGGCGCCGGCCAGCAAGGGTCTGTGGTGCGGAGGTGCGGCGGGCCCCGCCTGCAGCGGCGCAGGCAGCCCAGGCCCCCCGGCGGCGGCGGCGGCGGCGGCGGCGGCGTCGACGCGGCTGGGCCACGCGTCGTCTGCAGCTGCTGCAGCACCCACGGCGGCCTTATCTGGGGGCGCCGCAGGGCCCAGGCCGGCCGCCAGGCCCCCACGGTGGTGGTTCAGCACCTGCTCGATGGCCTGCACCACGTCGCCGCCGCAGCCCTGCAACACCAGCTCCAGGACGCCTCGCCGGTGGCCTGGGAACACGCGTGTCAAGATATCCAGCGGCGTCCGCTGCCGTGGACCCGAGCCTCCGCCCAGCCCTGGCGCCGGCGCGGCCTCACCCTCTTCTTTGTCAGCCTCTGAACCGGATTCAGAGCCCAGAGGGCTAGCGGAGCCCGGGCTGTCCTCCTCGCCGCCGCCGCCAGGGCCAGCGCTGCCTGGGCAGCTGCCACCTGCCTCTTTGGAGGCCCGAGCTAGGGGCGAACCAGAAAAGGACTCGCCATCGCCGTTCTCCGAGCCTGAGCCGGGCCGCACCTCTGGGGACGACGTCCCGGGCCCCGAGTCTGCGCCGTCGGGTGATAAGGGCTTCACCGGCGGCGGCAGCGGGCTGCCCGGGCGGCCTGCCTGCAGCAGCGTCTTAGGAAACAGGTCAAACTTCTGCAACTTGGCCTCTGGGAGGGGAGAAAACGTGTCGTGAGGAGCGGTTAGCTAGAAGACAGCAGTCACAGCACCTCGGCCCTTTGGATCTCAGTTTCCTCTCCCTCAGCCCCACAGCCCTTATTCACTAGGCTCCAGTGCCCCTCTTTCTTTTTGCTCTAGCATTCCTTCCGCTCTGAGCCCCTACAGCCCTGACCCCAGGGCTCCCTCTCTTTCTGTACTCCTCAGAACCCCAACTACCTGTGCCCTGTAAACTCGATGTTCAGTGCTGCTTTCCCCACGTCTGTGCCCCAACACCTCCACCCTTAACTGCCCTTCCAGTCCTGCCCTGCCGTGGAGAAGTGGCCAGGTCCAGGGTTCAAACAAGAGACAACATAACTTCTGCCTAACCACGCTGTACAGAAGAGCCCACTGTATAGAAAATGCCTGCCCTGGCAGTGCAGCCTGTAAGGAAAGGCGCCTTGGTTATCTAGGAGGTCCCAAGCTTCTCTACAGGCAGAAGTACAGCCCCTGTTTCTAATCCACCCTTTCCAAAATTGAGACCTGAGAAGTTCTTCCCTCCCAAGTTTAGAGCGGATCCCTCCTTTCCCTCAACGGCTCTGGCCTAATTTCTTCCCTCCCCACAAAAAGCCACGGGGGTCCAGAAAAAGAGGGTGGTGCTAGGCAGGCAGTAGGAAGCGAAGAGGAAAAGACATAGGAAAGCAGACCTGAGAAACCAGGGAGGGTGCGGAAGAAACTAGAAGGAGGGAGGGCGCAGCAAGCGGTTGTCCAGAGGGCGTTAGGAACGCGAGAAGGGGAAAAGAAACTAGGGCGTCTCAGAACCTAGGGCGTCTCAAAACCTAGGGTGTCAGTTAAAGGGGGGGGGATTCCTTAAGGGAGTTGGGAAGGAGCAGAGGGAAAGGGCCTGTGGAGAAGCGCAGAGCGAACGAAGATGCGCAGGTTTCCACCTGGGGAGAAGACGAAGCAAAGAAGCAGGGACCTGCCTGCGTTTGGGTAGAGGCGAGTAAAAAAATTAAAGCGTGTACATTTCGGCCCGATGCAGGAGAAAGGGGTAAAGTGCAAATGCTCCAGAAGCGGGAGAAAGGAGAGTTTCTGTACCCACGCTCCATACCCGAGGCTGGGCGAGCGGTGAACCCTAGCAGTCGCGGCGACTGGACACGGGGGTTCTACTCTTTCTGAACCGAGACAAGCCCCTGGGCCCCGTGCCCCAGAGCTACGATCCTGCTGCCCCTACCTGCGGCCTGGCCGCGCTCTCACCTGAGCCCCCTGCGCCAGCTGCTCCGCCTCCGGTCCCCGCGGGCGCTCCCGCTCCAGGTCCCCCGCCGTCGGCGGCGCACACTGAACCGAAGACCTCGTAGGCGGGCCTCGGGGGGATGATGCCGTTGGCGGCGGCCAGCGCCAGCCCCTCGGCAGTGCCGTAGAGCAGCTGCAGCTCGCGCGCCTCGTTCTCCTCCTGCGCCTGCTGCCTGCGCAGCGCCACCTGCGCCGCCATGACACGCTGGCGCTCCGCGATGAGCGTGCACTTGGCGCACAGGCAGTCCTTCCAGCGACAGTAGCGTTTGTGGCCCTTGAGGGCCGACACCACGCCATGGTTGCGACAGCGCGCGCACTTGGGGGTCCGCGGGTACTTCTCGGCTGCCCGCAGCAACAGTGGCGGCCCCCGCAGCAAGCCGCCTGCCACGCTCACCGGTAGCGATGCAGCGGCCGCCGCGGCTGCCGCCACCGACGCCACCGACGCCACAGGCGGCCCCGTCGCTGTTGCCGCCGCCGCCGTCGCCGCGCCGGGCACGCTGGGCAGCTCCGAGCGCAGCTCCATGACAGGACCTGACGGGAAAGAAGGTGGGAGAGGGGAGAGACCTGGTGAGGAGCACACCGCGCGCTAGGCCAAAGCGCCGCCTTGAGGAACCCAAGCTGGAGAGGGAAATTTGGGCCGCGGAGGCTGGGCTAGAGGGGCCAGAATTGCTGGGAGGAGGTGCAGTCGGAACCTCCTTGTGAGCCCTAGCACCTTCACCCCAGTCTGGCCATGGCTGCTCTTAGACCTGATATACACGCTAGGGGTAAGATTTTGTCTGAATTAGTGATTCCGCTGGAAAAAATAAAGAGACATGTAAAGTGTGAAAGTCACTGATTCAGATGGCTGTAATGAGAATTTGGAAAAGTTAAGATGATACCCCAAAGCTTAGCCTAATTGGGGTGAGACGGGTGAGAGAAATGCTCGTTTGACGGGACTGGGATTAGAGCGACAGTTTTGGCCCAGAAGTTAGGCTGATGCCAAGGGCAAAACAGGAAAACCCGGAGCAAAACGGTCAGTTTGGTGGAAGGGTGAAGAGGAGAGAGATGTGAAGGCGCAGATGTGAAGGCCGGTTGGGCCGGAGTTTTGTTTCTTTTTGTTTGTTTATTTTTAATGCAGTTTGGGGCAGAAGCTTTGGAGAGAAAAATCAACAACAGAAAGAATAGCTTTAGGAAGCAGAGTGAGGACGAGGAAACAACTTGGGCAAAGTTAGGCCCAGTGGCTCTGGGACCCGTAAAAATGTGAGCGCCAAAAGTTCCACGGTGAGGGCCTCCAGAGAGTGAGAGACAAAATGTATGTGGAATTTAGCTTAGGACTGGGAAGTATTAAAGAGAAAAATTCGGCCAAAGAAACTTTCTGTATAGGCAAACCCAGCCCAAAGATGAGCTTCATGGGCAAGGAAAACAGTGAAAAGCAGCTGATCTGGGTGTCCGGGATCCAGGGGCCGCGCCTGGGAGAGGGGAATGTGTAAGAAAAAACCCCACAGGCAAATGCTGGGGGAGGGGATTGGGTAAAACCTGTGGTGCAGTTTTTTAGCTTCGCAGTCTGGAGTAGTAGTCGGGGCGGAAGACGTATCCTGCGAAAAGTTAGGCATTTCGGGAGGGGGATCTTTCTCGAAGACCACCTCACACTGCCCTCCCCTCCCCTCCGGGTTTAGGGACAGAGTCGTCAGACACGCCCTCCCCGTCTTGGGGTCCCAGGGGACCCCTCTCGAGCGCAGGCTCCTGCGTTCTGATCTCAGAGTTGGGGTCCTAGGACACGGATGGCCCAGCAGGCCGCACCAAGCCAGGGGAGTCGCCTTCGCAACTGGCCATAAACGGACACCAGAGTCCCTCCCACGCCGCAGCCCCATAAGGCCCAAGCAGGCCCAGCTCCCCGCTTCTGCCGCGGTCTCCTCTGCTTCCCGCGTTCCCCGTCCCTGCCAGAGCCCGCGACAGAGTCCTTGTGTCTCCGTCCGAGAGTCCCAGACCTCCTCTCTATGAGCGTTGCCTCCTCTCCCAGACCCTTCGGGCGTCCCTAAGGCCCACGGGGCCCAGGCCTCCTCAACAGGGGCCGCAGACCAGGTCTCCACCCACTGCTCTCCCTGCGGCCCTCAACTACCTGCCTTGGGCTCCGGGATCCTCCTCCTCCGCTGGCGCTGCACGCGCCTCCCGGCTCCACTGGCGACGCTGGAGCTCTTGGCCGCTTCCCTTTGCCCCCGGCCCCTTATCTGACCACGTCACCCTCCTTCAGTCACCATGTCCGAACTTCCGGACCCCTCAGAACGCAGCGCAGTCCAACCCTCCCTTCAGAAATCCGGGTCGGAGGCTCGTCTGCGGGCCGCGTGGTTGGAACCCGCGACCTGACTCTCGCC
Source organism: Homo sapiens (assembly GCF_000001405.40). Lineage (NCBI taxonomy): Eukaryota > Metazoa > Chordata > Mammalia > Primates > Hominidae > Homo > Homo sapiens. The sequence continues at coordinate 50,423,365 of NC_000001.11, forward strand.
GTGCCGGGTCCCCTCGCGGTGCGCGCCGGACGCTGCGCGCAGCCGGGGCCCAGTTGCCCGGCGCTGCCAGACTCTCAATGAGCCGCTCGCCCGCTCTATTGTTGGTCCTTAGGGCTCCATTAGACAGAATTGGACAACAATGTGGCGCCTGCCATTGGCCAGGGGAGGCAGACGGCGCTCTGATTGGCCGGGCCCGCGCCCGGGGAGCCCCGCATTCTGCAGTGTCCGAAAGATTCGAAACTCCAAAAGCTCCACTGCGTGCCTCTGGGAGGGGAGGGGGCGCGCCAGGAAAGGAGTGGAAAAAAGTGGGCGAGGAGGAGCGTTGAAAATTTCCTGACAAGTAGTTTCCGTGCGCCCGAGAGCGTGTGAATTGCTCCTAATTACCGTGTCCGGTGCGCCTCTCTGCGTAGACTTGTGTAACCTCTCGGCTTCTGGGGCGCCGGCTCGGCTGCACCGCTCTTACTGGCCTGGGGCGCTTGGCAAAGCCGAGCTTCCCAAGTGGCTCTGGAGCCCTGAGGCGGGATGGGGGGCAGGTGACAATTCAATTACTGCGGTCGGGGTAGGGGCGGGACAAGGGTGCGGGGGTGGGGAAGGGAGGGTGTTCAAGGCATAAATGCCAGGACGATTTTTCCTGCCTTCTTCCTGCTATGTTTCGGCGCGCTCCCAAATCCGACGAGTTTGGGGTAGTTGGGGGCTGCTTTGGTTTTTTCCTCCTGTCTCCTTAAAGCTCAGTTACTTTATTTTAAAAGTCCTGATACGATAGTCATCCTGGAGGGTAAGTGTGGTTTATGAAGATTTTCGTGTTTAAAGAGAAGCTCAGCGAAGAGAAATGAGATTGCACTTCCTGTCGGTGCCCGCCACGTCCCTCGCGCCCTGAGCCTTTCCTCTCCCCGCCCCTCTTTTCGCGTCCCTCAGCCCCTTTTGAGCTCTCTTTTCCTCACTTTTCAGCATCTCGATTTCTTTTCCGTGGTGGTGGGATTCTTTTTGTCGTTATTGCAAATGAACAAATAGCCCCCCCCCCTTTTTTTTTCTTTTCTAAACGAAAGTAAAAAGTGGCCTCTGTGTCTCCGCAGATTCTCTTAAACTCAGGACGCGCATCGGTCTGTCCGACCTTCCCGGCAAGAGACAAAGTCACTGCTGGGAGGCCCCCTCGGACAGTTTTCAGTTTTAACTTTCGCCTTATTCTCGTCTTGTCTTGATGTCACGGCCCTGAGGAACAGCTCGTTCTGCAGAAGAGGTAACAGGTTTCAGATTTTGTTTCCTTTTTGAAAGGCTGTTGCCTTTCAAACATCTGGAATTAATGCCGCGGCCCTCGGGCGAGTCGCCCTCGGTTTCTGTAGCTCTGATTTTATCTCTGTGTCTTTTCCCCTCTAATTTCTAAAGTTCTGTTTTTCCCTCTAATTCTGTTTTTCCCTCTAATTTCTAATGTTCTGTCACTCTCGTTTTTGTTCTCTACTTTTCTCTCTCTCCTTCAGAATAAAGAAAATTCGTTTAAATAATGAGGAAAATGAGCGTTCCTGTCGTTCTCCCTCCACTCTTGACCGTGCGTCTCTGCGTTGCTCTTTCGAACCTCCAGGCCGGCGGGAATCTGGGCGCGCAGACTCGGCCCGGGTCGTCGCGGCCTCAGGACGCAGCCCATTCCGCCTGGCACGACTACTGGGCCGCGTCTTGTCAGTCTATCAGCTTCTGAGCCCAGGAATGGGGGTGGGGGAAGGACGGTGCGACTAACGGGCCCCCACCCGAAGACCGCAGAACCTGGCGCCCCGGAAGAGCCCTGGAAGATGCCCACCGGGAGGCTGAGGCTGGAGGGAGGAGTGGGTGGGGGTGATTCGCTGGAGGACCGGGCGGAGAGCTTCCAGAAAGTTCACCAGGCCCCGGCGCGAGGGCGCTCCGACACGGACAAGGTCTATGATAGCGATAAAAAGCTGGTTACTCGCTCCCAGAAAATGCCACTTGCTGGAGTCTGTGAATGGGTTTAGGAGAGAGAAGGGTGTCAGCCCCCGCGAGGGTCTCCCGCGTGAAGTGAGGATAAGGGAGTGCTTCAGGGATAATATGTCCTCTAGGAGCGCAGGACCCAGACCCCACCTTCCAACACCTGGAGGTTCCGAGGCCAAGTATGTCTAGCCCCGGCTGCACCTGGGTAGGTGAGCCATGGGGTCGGGGGAAGAGCGCCGACAACCGCCGGATTCCGCGCAGGGGCCGCCAGGCGCCTGCTCCCAGAGCTCCTTTGGACAAAGTTTTCGGGAAATTCTATTAAACCGAAAACGAAATAAACTATACAAATCTGCCTAGCTTTTGAGGGGGCGGTGGCCCAGGTATCCTTCTCGCTTGAGGCCAGGTCACCGTGAGATTTCCCCACTCCGGACCGGGGATCCCGCAGAAGCCAAGGGTGTAGCCACGAGGACTCGGGAACCCGAGGCGGCCCAGCAGATGCGTGAGGAACTTCATTTTCTCAGGAGTGGGAGGAGGAGCATCCTGGCATCTAACACAGCCCAACCAGAGGGAATCCGCCCAACCCCTAGTGGCGGCATCTCACTCTTCTCTCGCTCCTCTTTTCTGGCATTCACATCCCCACAGGTCTGAGACCCACAGCCTTTTCTCCCACTCCCCGGAGGTTAGGGTGTTCATGTGAGTGAATGTGTTATGGAGGGAGGCAAAATAAACCCGTTATGGAGGGAGGGCAAATAAACCCAAGGTCATCTCACCCACACTTCGACAGGGCAGGATATCCTCTGCCCAGCTTCCCAGGCCGCTCCAGGGCCAGTTCCTCCTGATTTGGATTGGGTTGGTCGGAGGGGAAAGCAAGGGCATGGCCCAACTGAGCCACCAGCACTAGTAGAGCACGCCCAGGTTGAGGCAGCAGGGTCTACCCCCTTCCCAACCTGAGTGTAGCTTCACACTTGGACACACCCCCTCCCACGTGCGTGTGACCACTCTCTGCAAAGTTTGGGACACACTCTCACGCCAGCATTCAGAGAGCACCACCGGGCCCAGGCTCAACTCTGATGCTACCCTCCGGCTCAAGGGGACCCCTTCAGTGAGTTTGACCTCACAGTGTTCTTATAAGCATGTCCCCATCCTGGGCCATCCACTTGGTGTGTGACATTCCCAGACTCCCACAGATTTCCACCTCGGTGATAGCACACGCCGACAGGAGCACATTCTTACGCAGGTATGCCCTGGTTTATGCGCGGAGCTCCAGTCTTACTTCTACAGTTGGGCCCCGGGCAGAAAAAGCCAAAACCCTCCGGGACAAATGAGGCGGCTGAGAGCAGAGGGTCTTCCTCACACATCCACACGCGTACTCTTAGCTCAGAATCATTTGCTGACGCCTCTGCTGTGCCAGGGGCTGGGGGCCCGGGTGAGAGGGCCCAGCCAAGAAAATCCACCCCATCCCTATTCGCCCCCGGCCCCATCCCCCACGCCCACGCCCAGGAACTGGTGGCGTCCAAAGGGACTGCGTTGGGGTGAGGCCGGGGTTGAGGGCCTAGGGCGCAGAGCCGGCTGGAGACGCGGCGTGGGGAAGGGGGCCGAGGGTGAGTAGTGTAGCTCTGAGTAAAAGAGCCAGGGGCGCCGATGGGGGACCCGGGAGGCATTGACTTTTGCGCTGTTTGCCCGCGGCCTCGGAGCAAGCAGACGCCATCTGTTTGCCGGCTGCGACGCGTCCCGTTTAATTACCCTCCCGGCAGCCTAATAGAGATGATATTAAACTAAATCTTTCTGACATTAAAAGTAATTATCCCCAAACCGGTGGCTCCGGGACGGAATGGCCCCTCCCGCACCCACCCCTTCCCTGGCCGCGCCGGATTCCGTTAGTTTGGCTGATACTCTCCGCCCGGGAATGGGGCGCAGAGGAAAGGGGGAAAGTGCCTTTGGGAGAAGGAATCTCCACGGGTTGCCCTACACGCGTTTTCCCGCACAACCACAGACTCTCCTGTTCCTATGTGAACACACGCACGTGTACACACAGACACGTAGCGACATTTTCCTCCAGATCAACTCATGAGTCATGCTGATGAAGACCCTCAGCCGCGCACACCCTCTGTGGACAGGGAGACGCGCAGCTTGGTTTCCTGTCCCCGTCCTCTGACACCGCTAAAATGGTCATTTTCCGTGGTCATAGCCACGGATCTATGCCACGACCTGGGACCGGGCATAATTTCGGAGCCAGAAAGTACTCCTGTGGTGGCGCCGGGTTTCTCAGGCGCTCTTCCAGCTAAGGGCCAGGAGCCCAGCGATTTCCCTACAGTTGCTTACTGAAGTCGCACCATTCTCTGCGAGGCAGGTCCGATTATTCCACTTGTCAGGTGAGAAAACAGACTCGGAGAGGTGAGATGACTTGTTCCACATTATCACAATTAGTGAGTAACAGTGCAAAAATCAAACCCGGGAGTACCCTCATCCAAAGCCAGGTCTGTCTGCACAGTGCAGGCGCAGCGGGCGCTGCGAATCGGCTCCTGGCCCAATGCACCCCTCCACACCCGTTGGCCGGGAACCCGCTGGTGCTCAGCTTCTATCCGGACCCCGGACCTAAAGGCCGGGCAGAACAACCAACTGAAGGTGGAGGAGCGAGGGCACTGGTGCTGATTGAGCGGCAGGAGCCCCCGAGGCGGAGTCCCAGCGGCTGCAGCCCTCCTTTGGATCAAGCCCTCGCGTCTTCCGGGCAGGCGGAAGGGAGGCGTCTGCCCAGTGTCGCCAGGCTTCTCACGATTTTCTGGTTGGGAGCATCTAAGCCTGAGACAAACGCATGGAGAGCGGTGTTCACCGCCCCACTATTTGTTTCTATTTGTGAGCGTCTACTGAGTACAGCCACTCTGATAAACACTCGGTGTGTGCTCTCTTGCTTGGCACGCAGTCCTTGGGGGAAGATGCGATGTTCCACATTTCAGACACGAGGTAGCCAAAGTTCAACAAGGCGACATAACTTGCCTGGGGCCAGAGTGCTGCCGAACTTCGAAAAAGACAGAAATCCAGATCCAACTCCCACTCTTAGGTTTTTTTCTCCTCACCTTCCGTTCCGAGTGGGTAGGATCAGACCTAGGGGCTTCCATTTGGTTCGATTCCATTCAGTTCACTAATCATTCACAGAAACATGAAAGTAGGAGTCATTCATTCATTCACTTATTAATTCGTTTATGTAACAGCATTTGTTGAGCATCTAGTATGTGCCAAGCTCTACGGATCCGAGACAAATCAACCATAATGGGCCCTTACAGAACTTGTTAGCCAACTGGGGACACAGTCACCTATCAATGACCTCACAGTGAGAAGTCTAATCTTGGGAATGGGGGAAGGAGAATGAGGGGAAACTTCCCCAAGAAAGGGACCTCTGATGTGAGAGGTTAGGTTTCCCAAAAGGAAACACTGTTATTGCTTGTTCTGATAGAATAAAAGTCTTATAAAACATTTTAGAAAATTCAGCAAAATATATTTGGTGAATTTTGCTAATTTTTTTTCCTGTTTACCTACACTGACAAAAATATACTTTACAGTACTTGGTTTTTGTTTACAAATATAAGGATTTTAATATTAATCTATCTACATAACCTTTTAAATGATTGTTTAATGTTCCATTGCATGGATCCCTCTTTCTTTAGCCATTTCCCTGTTAATAGGTATTTTGTTTGTTTCCAGTTTTTGCTCTAATAAATATTGCTACCACAAACATCCTTTGTGAATTTGCCAATTATTTACCTAGGATAAATTCCTAAAAATAAGATTGATCGGCCAGAGGCTTTTTACATTTTTTAAAGGCTTTTGATAGCTATCAAATAGCCCACAGGAAAGGTATCAATGAACACACTCAATACAAGCACATCTTGCTGATCTTTTAAATCTTTGCCAATTCAAACAAGAAAAATAGTATATCATTGTTATAATTTGCATTTCCTTAGTTATTCCTTACTTTTTCCTACATGGATCGGTCAGTTAAGTTGTTTTAAAAATTATTTATATACATCATTTGCTTATTTTTCAATCATAGAGCTTCTACTTTCCTTAATTTGTAATAGTAATTTATATATCAAGGACAATAGTATCTTCTGTCTGTAACATGTGCTGCGTTTCCTCACTTTTTTGTGGCTGTCTTGCTATTGTAATGCTGGAGTTTTAAAACGTTTATGTAGACCAAAATTTATATATTTTTTGTAGAATCTATTTACAGTTGTATATGTAAGGATTTCTCAAATCCAACCGTCTACAAGCATTGGCCTATATTTGTATTAGCTCTTTTTTCATTATTTACATTTATATCTTTAGTTTATTGGAAATTAATTTTGATGGAAGGTGTGGTTTGTAGCTTCATTTTCCTCAATAATTAGCCATTTATCACAGCACTCTTCAATGAACCCTTTCCCCTACTGACCATATACTATATACCAAATTCTCAGATGGCTGTAGGTTGATCTCAGCATATTCTCTTCAAGGGAGCTGTTTACTCTTCTTGCACCAGCCTCACCATTTTAATTATTGTAGTTCTGTAGTATTTGGGAGGGCAAGTCATCCTTCTGATTTTTCTTTTTTTCCACATTCTCATGGCTATTTTCAAAATACAGGCTTCTGAATAAATATTTTAGGAATTTTAAAGCTACTTCCAAAAAAGTAAAAAATATTGGGGGGGGGGGGAATTTAAGTACCTTTAGAAATTAATTTGAGGGATATTATGCATCTTCACAATGTGAGACATTTCCATCTAGGACTTGGTGTGACGTTATCATGACTTTTATGTATCTTGGTAACTGCTGTCATTTTTTCTCAACAATTCTGTTTCTTAAACATATATTCTCCCTTCCGTATTTTATGTAGCTATTGTGAATGGAATCTTTTCACCCACTACAGCGTCTAACAGGTTATGACAGGATCATAAGAAAGTTACTCATAATAGTATATTTATCTTGGAACCCGCCTCCTTTGTGACCTCTCTCCCATTAACAATTTTTAAGTTAGTTTTTACAGTTTTCCCACCCAGCTGAGTTTGGAAGGACCCGGAAATGACCAGGAGGAGGGAGGGATGAGGATGTAGAGTGTGATTTGCAGGTCTTCCTGGGGCATTGCGGATGGTGTGCACCGGCTACGTGGTCTTCTTTGGGCCATCCTTCTCCTGGTTTCCATCTCCCAAGAGGACCCCTTGAAATAGCGATTCCGAGAATCGGCTCCGGGGCTGATGAGCCATCCAGATACGGAGCTTCCGCCGCACTGTGTGACCGTGAGCGAGTCGCCAGCCCTCTCTGGGCTCGCCTCCCGGCTACCCCGGAGTCAGACTGCCTGGAGGATAGGCAGCCAGGCCACTACTTGTGGAGAAAGGAGACTGTAGAGAGGAGGGGCATTCGGGCTGGTTCCTGGGCCGGGTCAGCCTGGGTTTGAGTCCAGACTCCCTCCCTCCGTAGTGCGGCGAGTGACCTTCGGCAGCCAAGTAGTCCCAGCCTATTCCCAGCCTGTAACCTTCGGGTTATCCAACAAACTGGAGATAAGGGGAACAGGTCTGGGAGGGGGAAGCCTAATACACACACACACACACACACACACACACACACACACACACACACAGCCCTGTTGGCGGCTTTCCCTCAAATAAAGAGTTCTACTCGGACTTCTTCCCCCACCCCTCACATTTCCTGCTGAGATGCGCAGTCTCCTAGGCTGTGTGTGGACCAGGGAGTTTCTAGCTACCTGACTGGCTCAGGGCCTGCCTGGCCCATCCTTCTTCAACTTGAAGCTCGATACTAGTTGGTGCACAGCCCAACATAACTCTTTCCTGGCAGGGTCGGGGTGGAGGAGCTGGCGCACAAGTAGACAGCCTGCTGCGATGGGAGGTAGGGACTCCAGGCTTGCTGCGGCACTGACGCACATATGTCTGCCTCCTACAGATTCCCAGTCCCAAGACATCAGTTACCTGGAGAACTTCTACTCACCCTTTACGACCCAGCCTCAGAGATCTTGTCAGAGGCACAATAGGCACACACTGACTCCGCAAACTCTCCAAGTACCTCTGCATTCTACCCTCTCCGAAGCCACATAGTTACCCATCTTTACCTCGGATTTATACCAGAGGAAACTGAGGTATACAGAGCAGGTGACTTTCCCAGGGGCATACAGCCAGTGGGGGGAGGGGTGAGAACTGTTCTTTGGGTCTTCAGGAGAGAGCTGGTTGGAGACTTGAAAGTGGGATTGAGGCCACTTTCCCTCCCCAGTTCCCTGAACTGGTTGGGGCACAATGGAGGGAGCACTTCCTTCGCTGTTTGAAAGAAGCCTCTTTCTTTAGGGGCTTCTTCACTCCCTTCTGTGCACCTACAGCCTCCTTTACCCCACAGGATGGACTACCCTATGTTCTCACTGCCAGTCAAATGTTTGACAGCCCCTTCAAGTGTCCTCAGCACCTCTGGTCGCAGGGCCTGGGCTAAGCAGGGCTACTAGTGTGGAAGCTGAGCTGGGCTGGAGTCCTGCATTTAATACATGTAACATGGGGGTAGAAGCAAAACTTTCATTGGGTCATTGTGAGGATTCAATAATGCAATTCATGTAAAGTCCTTCTCAGTGCCTGACATATAGTAAACACTCAAGAAGTGCTGGGTATTATTATTTATTAGGCAGTTACTGAATGAGTGAATCCCTCTCTGCTTTCAGTCCAGAGAGGAACAGTTCCCTTCTCAGCACCCTTCTGCCTTCATGAGAAGGAAGACTGGGGAGCTGGGAGCCGGCAATAGGAGGTGCCTTCTCAGGTGCCTCTGATTTTGAACCATAATCTTAAAACTCCCTTCAGAACCAGAATTCTGGCAGATTTGCATGGCCCAGACCCTTCACTGGCCTGGGATGCTCAAGATCCCAGAGAGATTCTGGGCCATCTCCTTCCCTAGGTCACTTCATCCACTCCACCTACCACCCTCTCCAGAAGCTCAATTAACCAGAACCTGTTTGCCTCAAGGCACAAAGTGGTACTGCCCCAGTAAATAGGAAGAAGCACAGCCCGGGGCCTGCCCCAAGCCTCTATGGGAAGTGCACCTGCCCCCCTTCACCCCATCTCTTCTCAGGGCCTCCACTCCTTGGGGCACACCCTAGCACTGCTGGCTTCTAGTGGGGCTCCCCAAAGGCAGGGGCTGGGCTCCATGCCCCCATGACACAGTGCCACTTTTATTGCAGAGAATGTGTTCTTCTCTCTGAGCCCCTGACCTCCTGCAACATGTAAAAGATGCATAAAATGCACAGCTGGAAGAAACCAAGGCATGCAAGTGATAGCTGCACAAACTAGTTCCTCACTGATGCTTGCCATGGTTAAAGGCATGCCAGAATGGAGGCTGTGGCAAGTCACTTCACTGCTCTGAGCCTGTTTCTCCATCTATAGAATGAGGAAAGGTAGACCTACTGCATTTGGAAATGATCTGAAATGAGACAAGGACTACGCAAACACAGTTAGGAAGATTATGATTCTCGTGTGAGATGCTCAGCTGAGCCCTTGGTGCCCATCTCTGGGAATATACCAAAGTTCCTGACTGCCCACCTGGTTCCCCTTACCTGTGCTTCCACCTGACCCCCAAATCAGAGAAAAGTTTCAGTAAGACTCTCTTCGTTGTCTCCTCAGAAGTCCTATACAAATGTTACCAGTGTGTAAGGCAGGTAACATTTCCAGGAGCCTGGAGATCTGATCCCAGAAGGGCAAGCTCCATTCTGATCCTGTAGGATGCCTCCTTTTTCTAATTCCGGGATCTCAGATTACCAGGCTCCCAGATGGGGTTTACCTATTCCCAGAAGCCTTTCTGACAGCCCGGACTGGGGACCTCCTCTGGGTTCCCACAGCTCCTGGAACTCTTCTAGCACCACCCTGAAATTGGTGGCCCCAACCCACTCCAGCTTGGAAGTTCTGGGTCAAAGGTAGAGGCTAAGGATCTGGTGTTTAAAGACAGCAATGAATGGATGAGTCAAATCTAACCTGCTCTCCATAAGGCAAAGGTACTTAAGTAGTACTTAAATTAAATGCTGGTCTGCCAGAAATGCATGGTGGGAAAAATATTTGCTTTGGAGATAGACAGCCTCAATCATGGGTCATGGATATGTCATATAGTAGTTATGAGACTTTGGGCAAATGACTTAACTACTCTAAGCCTCAGTTTATCAATGTATGAAACAGCTATGGTATGATCCACCTCATAGGGTAGTGTTGGAGTTCATTCACTCATGTAACACTTACTGTCTGTGCCCTGTGTTGGGTCATGTGAAGATGGACCTGTCAGGGTCCAGAGAGGGAGACTTCTGTACAAATAATCACAATAATGTGATAACTGCTCTGCTAGGGGCAAAGAAAGGGACTAGAAGAGGACTTTGACTTGTCCTGGGGGTTGGGGAGCCTTCCTGGAGAAATAGTGAAGTATAGTACTAGCCTGAACTCTGGAGCCAAATTGCCTGTGTTTGAATCCTGGATCCTTGGTTTACTAGCTTTGTGAATGTAGGCAAATTACCTCTTGTGCCTCAGCTTGCTCACAAATAAGTTGAGGATAATAGCTCCTACTTTATACGGTTGTTGAGGAGTAAATGAGTTAAAACAAATAAATCTCATAGTGACCGGCATACAATAAACATGATAGAAGTGTTCACTGTATTATCAATAGGTACTTATCAAGCACCTATGCAGAGTCAGACCTGTGATGACGATAAGACAAGTCAGATTGACCCTACTCTCACGGAGTTTAGACCTTACACAAAATTGGAGCTGAGTCTCAAAGTACAGATTGCCTCTTATCTAAGGAGAGTTTGAGAGAAGAGCAGCAAACTGAGGAAGGAACTCAAGGGCTGCTGACGTTTAATAGGCAGGCAGAAAACCCTACATAAGAGACAGAGAAGGACCTTTCAGAGAGGTGAGAAGAAAATGAGGGCAGTACAGTATCCTAGAAAGCAAGGGGGATGGGAGTATGTGAGGATTTTTATTATACTCTACTCTCTGTGGGTTAGAAGTTCCACCACTGAAGCATCTCAGGAACGGGGACCTCATCAATGAGGGAAAACAGCAAGCATGAGCTTTGGGCACAGATCCAGAGTAGAAGCCCAGCTCCTCTCCCTACTACCTGTGTCTCTGAGACAAGTGACACAATCTTTCTGAATGTTTTCTTAGCTGTAAAATAAGGATAATAATAGTACCAACCTCACAGAGTAATTCTGAGGATGGCATGGGAGGACAGAGTCTATTAAGGCCCTAGCAGTGTGCTGGGCTTACCTAGGTACTCAAAACCAATTCCTTTAGTCTTTTTCTTTCCTCAGCAGCTCCAATTGGTTTTGCTTCAGCTCCAATTAATTAATAGTTCAGTAACCATTGGGTGTGTGACTGTTATGTGCCAGACCCTGGGCTGACTCTGGAAATAAACGGATGATTAAGATCTGGTCTCTGCCCTCTCAATGTTCCCACGAGTTGGATGCTAGAGATGGAAGTGGACATCTAATTAGTACATGGATGCCATTATTTATTTTTATAAATTAAGTTAATAAATCCAAACTTACTGTGTGCTTATTATGTACTAGCCATTTGATTAGGCTTCAAGAATATGAAGTAACTCAGGCCATTTGCGGGGGTCCCAGTCTGGGGGTTAGGGGAGAAAGAGTATGCAAGCTGAGAGTTACAGCTCAGAGTGATCCAGTGCTATGAAAAGGGCAGCAACAAGTCTGAAGACTCACAGCACTCCTGTGTCTAACCCGAGGAGTGTGAGGAGGGTGTGGCAATGGTCAAGAAACCATCTTGAAGGAAGTGAAGTATAAACTGAAAGTGAAGGATGGATGGATGGTAGGAATCTATTAGGGCAGAGGACACAGTGTGCAAGGCCAGAGATGACAGAGAACTGGCACTTTCAGGAAACTGCAGGTAGCTCAGGATGTGTGTTGAGGGCATGGCTGGAGATACAGATGGGGAGGGAGGTAGCGGCCAGATGACAGAGTTTTAAATCCAAGCCAAGAGTTTGGATTTTATTTGGAGGGCAACAGCAAGCCTTTGAGAGGATCAAAGCAGGGTGTGACACAGTGAAGCAGGTGTTTTAGAAAGCTCTTTTTGGCAGTTGTGTGGTGACCGGTCTATAATAGAAGGGACTGGAGAAAGGGAGATCAATTAGGATGCAGTTTTTTTTTTTTTTTTTTTTTTGAGATGGAGTTTCACTTTTGTTACCCAGGCTGTAGTGCAATGGCATGATCTCAGCTCACCGCAACCTCCGTCTCCTGGGTTCAAGCGACTCTTCTGCTTCAGCCTCCTGAGTAGCTGGGATTTCAGGCATGCGCCATCATGCCCAGCTAATTTTGTATTTTTAGTAGAGACGGGGTTTCTCCATGTTGGTCAGGCTGGTCTTGAACTCCTGACCTCAGATGATCCGCCTGCCTTGGCCTCCCAAAGTGCTGGGATTACAGGAATGAGCCACCGCGCCCGGTCTAGGGTGTAGTTTTATAACTCAAGTGACAGACAGTAAAGGTCTGAAGGGAAGAAAAGGTAGTGGGATGAAGGATGAAGGAGCAGAGAATGGATTTTGAAGATGTCAAATAAGTAGAATATATAAGATCCTTCTTAAATCACTGCATGCACTTATAAGGTGTTGCTTAAATTCTAGCTCCTGACACATTTCTATATAACATTAGCACTAAGAACCGTATGAAGAATGAGTATTTTGGAGAGCTGAGTTTACTATAAAAATATGACTTTACCCCTCTTAGCATCCACCAATACTTTAAAAATGTTATTATTATTGCCATTATTAATTGCAACGCCTTCGGCTGGGTATGGTGGCTCACTCCTGTAATCCCAACACTGGTAGGCTGAGGCTGGAGGACTGCTTGAGCCTAGAAGTTCAAGACCAGCCTGAGCAACAGAGCAAGACCTTGTCTCTACAGAAAAAAAAAAAAAAAAAGAAAAAAAGAAAAAAAGAAATGCCTTGGTCATATATGACACTTTCCTTGAAGATACTGTATTGTCATAAACACAGCAGGGGTTTTTGAGTCAAAGGTCTTGGTCCAAAACTCTGCTCTGTTCTTTATAAGCTGTTGAACTCAGGCAAATCATTTCACCTTTTGAGCCTGTTCCCTCTTCAAAATAGGGCCAAGACCACCATCTCATAGAGTTATTGTGAGGTTACATGAGGAAAGAGGTCTGTAATGCTCCAAGCACAGTACTGGGCACATTGTAAGTGCTCAGCAAGTTTAGTTCTCCGCCTCCTCTCTTCACATCATGTTCTCGGCTTTTCTGTAGACACCCGTAACACAGTGACATTGTGCAGGGCTCTCTGACCCTTCTCTGATGGGTCCTAGAGCAGTGCTCCTGGACTTCCTGTGTCTACTTTTCACATTTTCTGTGTCCTCGCCCACACACTTCTCACTGCTGCCATCACCCACTCTCCTTTCCTGTGATAATCCCATGAGTTTACAGAACAGATAACAGCTTCCTAACTGTTCCACATTAATTCACTTAATCTTCATAAAACCTTATCATCCAGGTACTGTTATTTTCATTTTATAGTTAAAAAGCTGAGGCACAGGAATGTGAATGCGAAATGACTTCTTAAGGACACGTTGCTAGTAAGTGGAGGAGTGGCTAAGACTCAGGCAACATGGTTCCAGAGGCTGTGTTCCTAACCACACATCATACCACCTCTGAGAGCCCAGAACCCCAACTAATAGACAGTGTACAAAGAGTTTATAGACTGAAGACTGGAGATCATGTCTCTTTTATTAATATTTTCTTTCAGACCAAACTTTCAAAATGCAACAGTGAGGAGCTGTGTGGCCAGTTGGGGTTAAGTGTCACCTTCCAAAGCAGATTATTTGAGACAAGGACAAAATACTAAATGCAGAGATATTCAAGGCAAGAAAGTCTAGTGATTGTATTTCATCCTCTGGAGGTTTCTTTTAGATAAAAATACGGATTGATAAAAAGAATGGACAGATTCTTCTCCCCAAATAGGATGACGTAAATGGTGATTCTTAAAATTTTTTGATCAATAGGTCCCACTGAGAATCTGATGAATACAGATTCCCTTTCCAGGAAAATACATGTTTAACCTTTCTTTTTTTTTTTTTTTTAAAGAGATGAGGTCTTACTCTGATGCCTAGGCCAGAGTAGCAGTCGCACTATCATGGCTCACTGTAGCCTTGAACTCCTGGGCTCAAGTGATCACTTTGCCTCAGCCTCAACAGTAGCTGGGACTACAGGCAAGTACCAGCATGCCTGGCTAATGAAAAGTTTTATTTTTTATTTATTTATTTTTTTAGAGACAGGGTCTTGGTATGTGGTCAGGGCTGGTCTTGAACTTCTGGCCTCAAGCAATCCTCCTGCCTTTGCCTCCCAAAGTGATGTTTAACTTTTTATGTACAACTGTAGAGGATTCCAAGATCCGTTCTTGAATATAAAATTTAGAGATTCTTGGCCGGGCGCCGTGGCTCACGCCTGTAACCCTGGCACTTTGGGAGGCTGAGGTGGGCCGATTACCTGAGGTCAGGAGTTCTAGACCAGCCTGGCCAACATGGTGAAACCCTGTCTCTACTAAAAATACAAAAATTAGCTGGGCATGGTGGCACATGCCTGTAATCCCAGCTACTTGAGAGGCTGAGGCAGGAGAACTGCTTGAGCCCAGGAGATGGAGGTTGCAGTGAGCCGAGATCGTGCCACTGCACTCTAGCCTGAGCGACAGAGCGAGACTCTGTCTCAAAAAAAAAAAAAAAAAAAAAAAAAAATTAGAGATTCTTTGTAGACAAGCAGTGGAAAATTAGAGTTAGCACTTTAAGTCCTGACCCTTCTACTGACATGCTGTGTGATTTTAGGCAAGCCACTATCCTCTAAGCCCCTTGTGCAAAAATGGAATCATCATCTCTGCCCTGCTTCCCTCATAGCGGGAGACTATTATGATGTGTGAAAGGTGTGTCCAATTGCAAAGTGCTATCAGAATGTTGTAAGGACACTGAGGTTCAGAGAGGTTACTTACCTTAAGGTCACGCAGCTACTAAGTGGCAGAAGAGAGGTTCAACTTGGAAGACACTGAAGTCTCTGGAATGTGTGTGTATGTGGCTGTGGTTATATGTATGTGAAGATCTCTCTTCCTCTAAGAATTTTAAAAAGGATCAAAAGAGAAAATACAGGTGAAAGGGTTACACAGACTATAATGTGCAATGCCTATATGAGTTACTCCTGGACTGAACTAAAGACTCCAAGTCCCATCCACTTGTGGGGACCCAGGACTGGATGGCTAAGGGACAGAAAAGGATGGGTAGAAATGTGTCAATCAGTGATGCTGTTGTGGAGAGAATTAAGACCCTCTCCCACATTCAAATGAAAAAGTCTATACTTTGGGGGAAATTTGCCAGAGCTCTCCACCTCTTAAAAACCTATTCTACTGACCAGCACACTTAGATGTTATTATGTGACTAATATGTTTCTAATGTCAGCAGCAAGTAAAATCTATAAAAGCATAAATCTTACTCTCTTATGTTAAAAAGGTAGATTCCATAAAAGATGCTCTCATTCATCTTTGATTCTGGATGCTTACAATCCAGAGATGAACATCTGTGTGTGCTATAAAACTAGTAGTGCCAGAGAATGGCAACATCCGAAATCAGAAACCTCCAAAAAAATCCCTGCACCTTCTTAAAGGCAATGGGAAATTGGCAACACTTCCTTTAACTTTCAAACTAATGCTGCAACTGCACATCCAGCAGTCCAAGAACACAAGGGAGTAAACTGGAATGGGGGATGACAAAGAGTCCTGGAGCTTCACTGTCAACAGTTGGGCATAAGAATGCCAAGCAAATATTCAGACTGACTCACTTACTGGGCCTGGAGGCTGGGATGTAAAGCCCAAGGAAGCCTAATGGTAGGAGGAAGAACTGCAGAGGACACTGCTATTTCTGTGGTGATGGGAAGTCATTTTAATGCTCTGCTTGTATGAAAAGGATAAAATTGCTTTGGCCTTTTGTCTGAAGCTTAGTAGACCATCATGTCCTGAGTGAACAGTGACAATTAGCTGAGGCCTTTCCCAGTTATGAGGCCTAGAGCATAGGAAATCATGGGGCTGAGTAGGCCAAAAGAACTTTCTAAGGCAGGTTGAAAAAGGTTGTATCAACTTCACACACATTCAAGTAGCATTTAATAACTTCCATGAAATTGGCTTTAGAGTAAAGTCTATATTGTTGTAATACAGAAGTGAAGGTGAGTGGGAGGGAACAATATAATGAAGAAACCCAAGTCAGATGGAACAGGTTAAACATGAAGGTGAATTCAGAGTACCTTCCCTCAAACCCCACCCACACCCCTGCTGCTGTTCCTGAGTATGACCTGAGTTCAGGGCTGCAGCTTCTTCACAGCAGCTACAGAACAAGGTCTACCTAGAAAAAAAAAGAGGTGGTGCCCTGGTGCATCTGTAGCACTGGAAATGACTATCTTGTAGAGCCATTAGATTAGGAAGATAGGAATAGAGCTGGAGAGAAGTGTTCAGTTTGAACTCCCCTGAACACTTCCCCTGAAGGGAGACCCATGGGTCTCTCAGCCTCCCTAGAGAGACCCCTGCTGCCAGAGAAAGCCCATACCTAGGCAGATGTAGCACTAGTCTGTGCTAGATAGTAATCTGGAGAGGTCCCTGGTTGGAGCATCAGAGAAGACACAAGGTGTAATTTTCCTGGCCAACATCCACTTCTGGGCAGAAGGAAAATGAGCAGACCTATCTCCAGCTTTGGTTAGAATCTTCTGAGAACCCCTTGGCCGAGGCTGGGGGAACAAACCCAGCATTTGAACTCTTTTTTGGACAAGTACAAAATGTTAAAATCAGGATCCCAACCCCTAGGATAAAACCCACAGGTGACACAAAAACAGATATGGAGAAATATTTCAAGACTAAAAATAAATCATTGGCTGTGAAGGTATAAACGGTGTTCTCATGATCTAAACCCCAAACCCCAAATCTGTAGATTAAGAAAAATCCACACTTACTAAATCAAATCAAAAATTATTATATGCAGGTTTCAGGCAACACATGTCTTCTGAGTTGAGTCCCCAAGTTTGCTCTCTTCAACATATGAAGTCTGATTTTTCAGCCACAGAATGAGATCCCTTTCATTTGAGTCCAATATCAAATACTAAAACATTAAAAGAATAAAATAGTAGAGCAAGTTCCTTATTACAGGAGAGTCCATGGGGCTGCTCATCAGATTTTGTTGATAGGCAAGGTGCTTAAACACCAAGTGACAAGGTCCAAATGTGTGAGGGAGTAGAGAGAGAGAAAGCAAGAGAGAATTGTGTTCAGTTTACACTGATGGACTAGCAACTTGGGAGCTGGTATCTGTGAGGTTCTAACTGCCCAAATGCAAACCTAACAGTAGCCTCTTGCCATTGGGCCAGATACTGAAGTTTTGGTACTGGCCTCTCTGCACATGATCTCAACATTCACATTGTGTGCTTGAACAGTTTCCCTATGCTGCAATGGAACAGCAAATACCTCCTAGGTAGAACCTGGAGACCCAAGGCAGCAGCAGTAAATAAATATCTTGCATATATGTCAAATTCAGTCCTCAAACAAAACCTGACATCTTAGTAAAGCCATCAGAAAGTTCTAACAAAAATGGTATACTTTTTTCCTACAATGTTTAATCTCCATGCCGACAATGTCTCATTTGACTTTTTTTCCCTCTGCCCCTTAAAATTAGGTGATGAAGTAGAAATTCAGTCATGAAAATAAAAAGACATATATCAAATATACAGCATCCTGGTGTCACAGAACAGACAGAACTGTCCTAGACACTGTGGGGAAAAGATGGGCACTGGAGAGGTAAAAATTCTATTTAGTGATCACTCACACTTGAACAATGCATTCGTCATTGAAGGAGGGTGAAGTGCAGGGGGTAGGGGAGGGTGGCAGAGTTGTAATTCTCTGTAATAAGGGTTGGGAATATATACTCATGGATGGGAAATCTTAAGTAGCTATATTTATTATTACTTTTTCCAGCAATTTTGCAAGAGGCAGAAGTGTGACATTGAATTGAGTGAGACGAGCGTGTGGGTGGGTTGGCGAGGAGCCCTTCTCCTGACGCAGGCTGCTGGCTTGTCAAGGAATGGCTGGTTCCACCGCTGGGCCGTGTTTACTCTTTTGCTTCAAGGAAAAGGGTTTCTTGAGGGAACAACTTTACCTCCAATAATGATTTATTTGGGTCCAGTTGAGTTACCTAAAAAGATGAAGAACACATATTCAAAAGACTGAAACAAGCACTATATTCTCTACATGGCCTTCATTTTATCTATGCACACTGATTCTGAAACTATGCACTGGCACGAAGAGTCTCGCAGTATCTTAGTTGATCTTCAAAATAACCTGCAAGGCAGGTGTTGTTATTCTCATTTTATAAATGAGGAAACCAGGGCTCAGGAAAATCAAATCTCATAGTCAAGTTTGGTGGAGGTACCTTTCTTGCACAGCTCAGCCTGGCTGGCAGAACAGGGGGCCCTTGGGAAAGGTGCTGGTTAACAACTGACTGGCATTCCTAGAGACCTCTGCTTGGTTAGCCCCTAATAGAGGGGAGGGACTCTTCTGCTTGGTGGGACTACAGCTAAGCCTTTGGGGCTGATCTTCCTCTTAGAACTACATTATAAACTGTAGAATGGCCATTCCACCATGCCCAACGATGAAGATCTCCCCTGGTGAGGGGAGGCATATCATACCCTTGTTGATGGTATATTTAGTTTGGAAAAAAAACAGGCAATGTCATAATACAACTTTATATTTTAAAAATTAAAAAAAATCATAATTTTGTAATATGAACTATTGAAAGTCAAGCTAGACAAAATCTTGGCTGAGTGGGATACGTTAATCATACAGGGATCCTAAATTAGGTTTATGCCCTCCTAGGCAACGGGCAGGGATGGGACATGAAGGTCTTCTGAATCTGCGAGTGAGAGAAGAAACAAAACTTTCCTGTTTATCAAAAGAGGTCACAATGTTTAAAAGTTGAGTAATACTGGTTTAGTGGAAACGACACAGGCTTTGGAATTAGAAAGACTCTACTTTAAATTACAGCTGTGTTGGCTATCAGCTTTGTGGCTTTGGAGTTAGTATCAATCTTGCAGGACTCATTGTGAGAATTAAATGAGAAAAAATATATAATTAGCAAAGTGTCTTGCCCAGAACAGGTGTTCCATAATGACTGCTGTGTGTGAGAGCAACTGTAAAGATGGTGGACACACAGATAAATGGGCAACTCCAAGTGTGTGATGGGAGGGCAAGCAATCTCTAGTCAGGCCTGAGGCTGCTGCTCTGCTGCTCTGGGCCTGACTGCAGCACCTGAGGCAGGCAATCTTATCTTCTGCTTAACTCAAGCTGCTCCTAATAAGATGGTTCTGGTGTCTTCTTCCATGGAGGGGTGGGGGATATGGGGAAGTGGAGGCCCTGGGGGCCAAGGCCAAGTATCAAAGGCAGGCTGGCAAGGGGAAGGGGAAACTATCTTCAGCTGTATCTAGATGGAAACCTGGTATGCTCAGGAGGGTCTTTAAAAAGACACATCCGCCCCTGGAATCCTCTCCGCTTATAAGGAACTCAGAGCAAAGCACACTGTATTTGTATCTCTTGGGTTGTGGGCAGATGGACAGGCAAGGAGTGGGAAGGGCCTAGCCTGTCTATCTTCCAATGCACTGAGGGGCAAGCTGCTGGCAAATGTTTACCCACTTCCCCAATTAACGTACAATACTCATTGGCTTCTGTCAACAAACAGAGCTACTCTGCCTCTGCTTCTCATTCGTTGGCATTTTCTGCCCACCTGCTTCTGATATTGTTCTTAATTAACATGCCAGAGCTCTTCCAGCATCTTCTACTTTGTTATTTGTGGCTTGTAAATATGATGTTTGTTGGGAGAAACGATCATTGTAATCGTGTGCTAGGAAGCAAAAGAGGATGGGAGGCTGAAGTATCAGGCCTGAGTTGCACCATGCTGGGGTTGTCATATGCAAGATTAGAGGTTCATAAACCACACCCAGTTTTCATATGAGAAAGCTGCATCCAAGAAAAGTGGCTTTCTTCAGTCACTTTGAGTGGGAGAGCTGGAATTTGAGAAGGAGGAAACTAAAATTTCTTGAACGCCTACTATATGCCAGACAACATATCCATACAACAACCATGCAAGACAGTGGAGATGATTAAATTGAAGCTCAAAGTGGTTACCACTTGTTTACAGCCATATGGTTAATAAGTGTCTATAAAGCACAGTGGTTAAAAAGAGTGAAGCAAACCTAGAGTCAAATCCTAGGTCTGTCACTTCCTACCAGTATGACTTTGAAGAAATTATATAACCTGAGAGCCAGTTTTCTCACCTGTAAAATGGGAATCATAGTTTCTCCTTCATAGGTTGTTGTGATTATAGTTAAATGGAATAATGTTGGTGCAGCCTCTGGTACAGTGTCTGAGCCAATGAGTACTCAGTAGGTTGTAGCCATTACTGACTGGGTAGGGGCCCTGATCTTTCTAACTTCAAAGCTGCAGCTCTTTCACCAAAACCTCCTGGAACCCTGATCTATACCAGGCTATCTTTCTTGTTTCTTCCCCACGGCCCAGCAAGAGTGCCCCCCCTTTCCTGATCAGGTAATGCCTCCATCTCTGGAGACCCCCGTCTACAGCCTCAGTGAGGCTGTGTCACCATTGGATTGCTTCAAAGCAAACACGGCTGTGCTGGCTGCTCCCTCTGGTGCCCTAAAAATAAAATCAAGCAATTTTTTTTCTTTGAAGGTCATTTTAGGTAAGAATTTCAAAGTGAGCAAGGACAATCTCTATTTCCATTCTCATTTGCCTGGCTTGGACAAACCAATTGAGAGAAACCTAGGGGGATGTAGGACATCATGTTTCTCCCCAGCAAGATGGTGGCCATGCTGTGAAACTGTCCTGCAGTGCTCTGGGCCCCATTCAAGAAGGACATGGAGCATGCCAGGAGGGACCTCCTGCTTAGGAAAGAGCCTAAAAGCTATGTTCTCCGAGAGACAGCTAAAGAATGGGAGATATCTCCCTGGAGAGGGGGCACTGAGAAGTGGTGGTGTTGATGTTGCTATATGGGTAGGGAGGGGGCTGTGTCAGCCCTCTTTGAATATCTGAAGGGCTGATAAGTAGAAGACAGAGCAGATGTGTTCTGTGCAGCTCTGGGGGATACAGCTAGGGCTGGTGAAATAAAATCACAGGGAAGCAGAACCCAGCTAGTCAGAAACAACTTTTTACAGACAGACAGCAGCTGCCGACGTGGCTACTACTGCTTCTCTTATCTTTCTCCCTCCTCTCTCTGTTCTTTATTTTCTTGTTCTTCAGTCATCATCATAGCAGCAACTATCACTTATCGAGTGCCTACTATGTAGCTGGGAACCATGTTAAGTACTTTATATACTTTTTATATAGTACCTTAACTAGACCTCACAACAGCTCAGTGAAATAGGTACGATTCTTTCCATTTTATGGATGAAGATACCACAGGTTATCTTGCCCAAGGCTGCAGACAGAATAAGGTTTCATACTCAGGTCTGACTCTAAAGCTGATGATATGAATGATTCTGACTAACATGTCAACAGGCTGCCTTGGGGAAATGGAGGTAGGGAGGGTGGGATGGGTGAACTCTCTGCTGTTCCCAGAAGCACTCAAATAGGGGCTTACTTGCAGATGATGACTATAGAAGCTAATGTTTATTGAGCATTTACTTTGTGCCAGGTATAGTCCAAGCACTTTAATATAAAAGGTAGGTTATCTGAGGTAGGGACAATTATTTTTATTTTATTTCAATAGTTTTTGGGGAACAGGTGGTTTTTGTTACATGGGTATGTTCTTTAATGGTAATTTCTAAGACTTTGGTGCACCCGTCACCCAGGCACTGTATATTGTACCCAATGTATAGTGTTTTATCCCTCATCCCCTGCAACCTTCCCGCTGAGTCCCCAAAGTCCATTATATCATTTTTATGCCTTTGCATTGAGGTAAGGACAATTATTATCCCCATTAAGCCAAAAAGCCAATGGAGAAATTGAGCCCTGGAGCAGATTAAGTAACTTGCCCAAGGTCTCAGAGCTATTAAGGGCAGAGCCAGGCTGTGAATCAAGGCAGTCTAGATTTGGAACCCGCTACATTACATTTTCAGAGATATTGCTGAGAGTAGTTTCTATATAGAGAAAGAAGTTGGATGAGATGATCCTGAAGTTGTTTCTAACCAAGCTTCCGGGATATAAGATCTTCACTTTAAGAATGGCAATAGGTCAAGGGTCAGGAAAAAAGTCCTGAAATGTTTATAAAATATGAATACAAAAACCCAATCTGAGCTTGTGTTGTGCCATTTACTTGGGACTTTACTGAATTATCGACTCTCTAAATCAACAAAGAAGCCCACCTTTTGGGACTCCTTGGGGGAGAAGGGTCATTCTCAGATAAGAGGTATGGCTTGATTTTGTCTATAGTTAGAAAAGGAAAGTCAACCATCTTGACATTTTCTTCACTATACTTAGAAAACCTGAATGGATATATTTTCTCATTAGCTTAATCATTTAGCAAATTGGCTTTGTGAAACATGTTTATGTAACAAAAATGGGACAGGTGTTCTTTGCCAAACAGAGCTATTCCTTTCTAGATCAATTTTCTTAGCAGACTGAAATTTCATATACTGTTTCTATTACTTCCCTGGGCTTCAGTTCCTTTTCTAAAAAGCCTATCACTGCTGTTGAGAAAAATGTGAATCCATGGGACAGATTCTCATCCTAGGCCACACTGCGAATCCTGGAATGTTTGGGGTTGTGGGGGGGAAGCTCCTTAAATGCCAAATTATCTAACCCCTTCATTTCATAGAAGGGCGATCTAAAGCTTAGAGAGGTCAAGTGACTTAGCTGAGGTCACACGGTTGAATAGGAGCAGACGCAGCACTGCATGTGCAACACCCACAGAGTTTCTGACTTCTGTTTTGGGGCTCTTTCTAGTCACATCCTTCTGCCTCTCACTTTTTAGTACCTGAGCATAAACTACAGGATGAGTATCACTAATGTAAAAATCCCAAATATTTCAAAATCCAAAACTTTTTGAGTGCTGACATGATGCTCAAAACAAATGCTCTTTGGAGCATTTCAGATTTTGGATGTTCTGATTTGGGATGCTCAACCAGTAGGTAAATGTTCCAAACTCTTAAAAAATCCAAAATCCAAAACATTTCTGGTCCCATGCACTTCAGATAAGGGATACTCCACCTGTACTATTAGGCTGGGAGCGACCTGAGGGCAGGAGCTGAGTAATACTAAAAAGAATAGCAGCAGCAATACTTGCATAGCCCTTCATAGTTTGTAACATATTTACACAAACATTAACTCACAATCATGTGAGGAAGTTAGATCTTTTACATTTAATATTTCTGAGGTAATGCTTTTATTTTGAAATTGAATAAAAGAAAGTCTGGATCTAATATTTCACTTTTAGAAAAAATGCTAGGTTGGATTTTTTTCTTCTTTTTCTTTTTAATGTTCCTAATGCATTTAACAGTTTATGGGGGAAATGCATTGCGGTAGTACTTGGAAATCAGCCCCACTCTGTAGATTAGGAAACAAGACCCAGAGACTGGATTTGTCTATGATCACATAGGTAAGTGGTAGAGGCAGAACCAGAACCCAGGCCTTCTGCTGGTTCCCTAATAATTTTCATAGTAACTCCCCACCTCTTACAAGTAGCCTAAAAGGGTTCTCTCTCATTCCATGAGTTACAGGCTTTAGGTTCAATATGTGGAACTGGAAAACAATAAACCAACAGAGGCTTCTCAAAACATATTCCTGCTTTTTTTTTTTTTTTTTTTTTTGAGATGGAGTCTCCCTCTGTTGTCCAGGCTGGAGTGCAGGGGCACGATCTCGGCTCACTGCAAGCTCCGCCTCCCGGGTTCATGCCATTCTCCTGCCTCAGCCTCCCGAGTAGCTAGGACTACAGGTGCCCGCCACCACGCCTGGCTCATTTTTTGTATTTTTAGTAGAGACGGGGTTTCACCGTGTTAGCCAGGATGGTCTCGATCTCCTGACCTAGTGATCCGCCCGCCTCGGCCTCCCAAAGTGCTGGGATTACAGGCGTGAGCCACCGCGCCTGGCCTATTCCTGCTTTTAAAATAAAATTTGCATTTGAGAAAGTTCCAGCATCTTAAAGGCAGAAAAGCTCTTGTTACCAAATTTTGTCTAGTATTTGTTTGCTTGCCTTGCCTCTGGTGACCAATAACTTTCATTCTCTAGACTGTGTGCTGATAGCACTGTGAGTTGAAGGGACCCTGAATAGCCTGACTCTCAGGAGCAACCCTTTGCCACGCTGGCAGAAAATCTGTAAGTCTCTTTGAGTCCACACAGAGATCAAACTCCAAAACCTCATCCATCTCATCTTACCTCTTACGCCAATGTCAAGGACAAGCAGGTCTAATCCTCTACATTAGACACAGACAGAGCAAAATAAGTTTCTCCAAGCTTTAGGAAATCCATCCCTTCAGTTATAGACTATGTACTTCAGAAAACCCTCTCCTCTCTGAATTCCTCTGTGCTGACTGCCAAGGCTGTACATTATCTAATGTTATCAGGATATAAAGGACCAGACTATATGGGTTCCAGTCCTGACTCTAGCAGTATGACTTTGGACGAGTCACTTTTCTTGTCTAGGCTTTAATTTTTGCATTTTTAGAAGTGTGAGGGCGAGTCAGTGGAGTAAACTGGATTGCAGTTAAGCTTTGGAAATATAATACTAACACTTAAATTCAAATCTCTTAGCCAAGTCAGTAAGATGCTTACTTGTGCACTAGTTCCCTTCTCCACTGGGTGAAAGGTTATTATAGGGATTGAAATAGCCATCAAGGGCCTGACACATGGAAGCTATTATGATTCAGTGCCTTCTTTATGTGTAAGTAGATGGTGTCTATGTGGTTTGAGTTCCCCAGTGGCTGGAACTGTTGAAGTGTGATCCCAGGGAGGGATACCTGGGTTGGATTCCCACTGCTATAACCTCCTAGCTGTCTGATGACCCTGGGCAAATTCAATGTTTATTTATAAAATTGAGACCTTTTTTTTGCCTCCCAGAGTTGTTGTGAGGGTCAATAATATAAAACTTATAACTCTTGTTGGGGGAAGTATTTATTTCACATTTATGTATCCACATGGAGTGACTTCTGGATGTGTTCCCTATCTCCCACACAGGGGTGAGAACAAACTTATTTGCCTGGTGAATTTGGGAGAAGGATCTGAGCTCAGCCCCTTCCTTTTCCTTTTCTGGAACCAACCTGCTCTCATGTTACAAGGTACGAGGGCCTGCAGTGTCCAGCTATACCATGGACTGAGTGGGCAAGTCTGTTTAATTTACAGGCAAAGAATACATCAGCAAGCCCCTTGGCTGCTTAATCTCAAATCACAATCTCTGATCAACTTTTCCGGTAACAAAGGAGGTGATATTTTTATCCCCACCTGAGTGCTATGTCTATCTTTCAATTGGTCTTATGTCTTTCAATTAGTCTTGAACTAGTTAAGTGAAAGGGTATTATTTAATGGCTCCTAAAATCCCAAAAACCTCAGAGCACTAAGCAAGTACTTAACAATTAGGTTTTGATGTAACATGATACGAGGGTCACAGCTTTTTTTTTTTTTTTTTTCAAAGTCTGTTTGGTCTTGATTAAAAGATGGGAAAATCAACTAGTCAGGGCATAAATAAATTTTAAAATACATTTCCCATCTGTAACATAAAGCCACAACAAAGATTATTCTTAAAGAGATGCTTCTTTAAAGCCAAGCTATTTGAACACAAAATGAATGTGCTACTAAACTTCGTTCTGAAGAATGCATACATAATAGTATTATTTTACAGTTCTCAAAACACTTTCACATATATTATCTAAACGTTAAAGCTATCCTAAGATTGGATTCATTTATCCTCATTTTTACAGATGAGAACACTAAAGCTCAAATAGGGGGACATTTCTTATGCACAGTCGTACAACCAGAAATTGTCGGGGCTCAAACTTGAACGCAGGTCCTCTCCTTTCAAATCCTAAGCTCTTTGTACTCTGAGGCATATTTATGGGCTGCATATGTAAGTTCCCAGATTATAGTGAAGCTGACTATATTTGCTTTTGATTTTGTTCAAAATTAGCATTTACTTTGAACTTGGGGGAACAACTTTTTCTTTCTTTTTTTTTTTTTTTTTTTGAGACAGAGTCTCGCTCTGTTGCCAGGCTGGAGTGCAGTAGCATGATCTCGGCTCACTGCTACCTCTGCCTCCAGGGTTCAAGTGATTCTCCTACCTCAGCCTCCCAAATAGTTGGGACTACAGGCATGCACCACCATGCCCAATTAATTTTTGTATTTTTAGTAGAGACAAGTTTTCGCCATGTTGGCCAGGATGGTCTCGATCTCTTGACCTCCTGATCTGCCCGCCTCGGCCTCCCAAAGTGCTGGAATTACAGGCATGAGCCACCGCGCCTGGCCTAACTAATCTTTTTGGTATGCTATGAGTAATCTATTCTATTAGTTACTCTATTAGGAAAACATGCTATTAAATATCAGAAGCTTAATAAGTAATTATTAACATCATCCCTATAAAAAGTTACCATGGCTGGGTGTGGTGGCTCATGCCTGTAATCCCAGCACTTTGGGAGGCTGAGGCAGGCAGATCACTTGAGGTCAGGAGTTCGAGACCAGCCTGGCCACCATGGTCAAATACTGTCTTTACTAAAAATACAAAAATTAGCTGGGCGTGGTGGTGCACACTGTAATCCCAGCTACTCAGGAGGCTGAGACAAGAGAATTGCTTGAACCTGGGAGGCAGAGATTGCAGTGAACCACAGTCATGCCACTGTACTCCAGCCTGGGTGACAGAGCAAGACTCCATCTCAAAAAAAAAAAAAAAAAGCTACCATTCATTTGGTGTTAGGTGCTAGGCACTAGGCTAGTTGTTCTATATATTATCTAATTAAATGGTCCCAACAATTCTATGAGATAAGTACTCCTATTATTTCAATTTTACAGATGAATTCTCTGAGGTCAAAAATGGTTCTGAGACTTGCTCAAGATTACATAGCTAGGAAAGAGAAGGCCAGAATTGTACCCTGGTTTGTGAGCTTCCAGCCTATATCCAGTCATTACCCTTCACTGCCTCTCAACTTCTGACCTACTTCTAAACGGAGGACAGTTAACATGACTAACTGGCTTTCTGTTGGGCATAAAAAATGCTGCACTCTGCTGCTATGTCATGGCTTATGTCCCTAATGGGCTTTGGTGTTCCAAACAGGAACTCAAGCTGTCTTTTGTTACTGTCAACTTAGTCCTAACAACTAATCGTCTATTTTCTTTAATCACCTTTTGATGAGCTAGGAATCCCTAAAGAAAGCAGTTATACCCACAAAGTATCAGAGGGGGAACTTAGGGGAATTGCTGGGCATATGCTGAGTCAGGGTATAAAAAAATCTTTGGTAATAATAAAGTCCTTTGCAACATAAGGGATTACAATTATTAATAATAATTATTATAAACAACTATGACAACAATGTCAGTTGTACCTCTTAGCAATTTCTTCTTTACCTTTGCTGCAGGTGGTAACACACCCCAAAATGAAACTTCCAATCTGGAAGGGTCCCACTATGAGACTACTCTATGGTTTATCTCAGCTTCCTATGCAATTGCTAGGCCAGTCTGTCTCACTGGACCACAAGAAAGAAGTGGCACTGGGGTGAGGGCTTCCAGGAAACAGTGACAGATGCTCCTCTTTTCATTACTGAACTGTGACAGATCAACTGGGGTGCTAGAGAGTGAGGCTGGGTGGGTGTCTGTGGCTGCAAAGCATAGGTGTCGAGGACATTTTCTTCCTTTGATGACGTTTTTAAGGTGGGAAAGAGAGAATGAAAGAAAAATTAAAGGAAGAACAAGGGGAGAAAAGATTAAAGTAAGAGAGGAATAGAAATTGTGCCTTGTAGGCTGCCCTGTTTGTTCTTTGTTTTATTAAATTATAATAATGGTAACAAGAGCTAACATTTATTGGGAGCTTACTAGGTGCTAACTGTGCTAAGTGCTGTATAAGCACTCATACAACTCTATGAGGGAGGTATATTACCTCCACTTTAAAAATGAGGACAAGAGGCTCAGCGAGATTATATAATCTGCCTAAGAATGCACAGGCAGGAAGTGGCAGAGCAAGGATTTAAAACTAGGTCTGACTTCAAATCTGTGTTCTTAACCACCACAGTAGATTATTTTAGTATTGTAGTCATGTACTAGACTATTTATTCTAAGTCCCTTGCTTGGGAGGACTGTACCCTTCGTGTAACTGAAATGCATATTTCCCCCATAACAGAGTGTATTATTACCTTAGGCATTTGGGTGAAATTTAGTCATTCAATTATGACAGAGCTAGTAATTGTTAGAGCTGGATGGGTCTTTAGAGGTCATCTCTGTAGCATATGGGGACAGAAAAGCCCAGTGAGTGGAAAGAACTTACCCAAGTTTATTCAGCATTCATGGCAAATCTGGATTCTTCATTCCTAGCCTATGCCTTTAGATGGACTGTTTAGTGAAGACACCAGCTCTAAGGTATTATAATGTTAAAATGGTCTCAAACTTGGCACACTGTCGGGGACACCCTGGGCACCAAACAAAAGCTGTAACCTTCTCCTTGCAGTGGTATCCTTGATGGTGGCTTTGGTCACTATACTATTAAATGACAATATAAGTGGGGAAGGCCCAGAGGGGATTCTATTAAGAATGGAATGGGGAGGAAAAAACCGTCTTAGTCTAAAAACAGGAGATGATCCAAGTCTTCAGAATGAGAATAAAGAACATAAAATGAATATACAAAGAACGAGAACAGGCATGTTTCCCCATCCTGGAAAGTCCTGGAATCTGGAAGACATAATTTCAAGCAAATAAAAGAAAGTCCCGCTTTACAGAACAATTTGCAAGCTCATTGCCCCTGAAAGCATAAACTGGACACAGGCAAATTCATAAGTGAAGATTCTGTAGTGTGGCAAGATAAACCTAATGCAGATGAGCCCCAGCAGTGTGCCCAGCTTACAGGTATGCTAAGATACTGATTCTTCTCAACTCTTGGGGCAGCCAGGAACCTCAGAGCTGGGTTGCTTCTGACTCTGAGCAGCCTAGTATGGTTCTCCAGTAAGACACACAAACACCATTTTCAATGTGTGTGGTGACTTGAAAAAGGCTGGGAATCACTGAGTTAGGGGACATGCCTCACTTTCCAAGGCCAATACCACGGAAGCAGCCAGGACCTTGTATAAAAGGTTGGTCCATAATGCTAACCACTGTGTTTGGAACAAGACATTAAGAGACAAATGAAAGGGGAGACACCTGTTTTCTGGTTAGGTTTAGAACTGTTAAGTTAGCTTAAAAGCCTTCTGAGAGATCCTGATTATTGTTAGCCTCAGAGTTTCACTAGTAGGCATGGATTAAGTGCTAATTAGGGAGGCAGTAAAAAAAAGCACTGGTGGATTTAAATCTTAGCACTGCATGTGTGCTCTTGAGTAAGTCATTTAACCTCTTACCATGAGATAAGATCCAAATTTCTCATCTGTAAGTTGGTGACAACATCACCCAACACCACATGGTCTCTTAATAGACCACATCCCTCTGGGTCTATCTCCTTCACACTTCCACTAGTGAGAGTTGAACAAAATGTCTGATCCTGTCCTGCTCCTTCTCAAAGTTCTTAAATGACTCCTTGCCAAAACAGGATAGTTCCCTTTTGCTTTGGCCTCACTTTCCCAGTTTGTACACGGTAGTGTTTCTGAGAAGGCTCCTAGCAGGACTTCAATGAAAGACGTGGCTGGAAAGACAGTTTGGACATAGATCATTAAGAGCTCAAATACCTTATTAGGTTATCATTTAAACTTCTGAAAAAATCTTTTCTCCTTGGCTTCAGAGAGATCTGGAGTGGTGGGCTACATGTGCTCCTCAGGCCCAGTGGGCTAGGGAGAAAGTGAGCATTTTGAATGAATTTTAATATCCAAGCAGGGCCATGCGAGCTGGTGTGTGCATTGCTCTGCACGCAAACACCACTCAAGAGCTGGGGCTTTGAACAGGAGTTAAAAGAGTTTAGTCCCTAACGACATACAAAAGACTTGCCGGTGTGATTTATTCTGATGTATTTACTTATCCAATTACCAAAACAGCAGGAGATCATTAAATTTTCTAGTTACCAGATGCAGCACGTTCAATATCTTAAATGTTACCAAGGCTCTCTCTGAGCTATTTTGATAGTACATTTCATCTACCCAAAAGCTTATAAAACTGGAAGGCAAGAATCATGAACAGAGCACGTGTTTTCTTTGAAGGCTGGTCCAGCAGCGGCCTGTACAATACCAAACCTATACCCAAAATTCCCAAACTCCTGGGCTTAAGCAAAAGCACCATGATGAGAAAGAAAAGTATTTAGGAAGAGAGGATGCTAGGAAAGTGGTACTTGAAGGTGGCTGGAGATATGCATTTTACCTGGCCAGCCTTTTCTTCATGCGTATTCCCTATCAGTTTAGTTGCCATATCCACAAAGGGTCAGGGCTCAGAGCTGGGGAGGGGAGTCAGAGAACAAGCATCATTTGGGGAACTGCAAACCTGCCTCCTGACCCTAGCATACTGCTCTGATTACCTGTGTGCTCTAGGACAAGTCACTTTTTGTCCTCTGAGATTCCTTGTCTGTTAAACAAGGATGTTGATATCTGTCTGGTGTACCACCTTATGGACCTGCTATGAGCATCATCACAGCTTATCACAGTAACAACATTTTAGAAGTGGCAAAATATTTTCTCTCAAAAAATACATCAAATAAGTGAAATCTGGGTCTAAATTTTCGAACAGGGGGTAGGGGCTTGGCCCCAACATTGCTTACTATGCTGATCTCTAAATATTATCCTCTCATAGACCCTATGTGCCAGACAATTAGAGCAGTTTGCTATTCCTCAAATATGTCTTGTGCTTTTCCTCCCTGAACCTTTGCTATGTTGTTTCCTCCACCTAGACTGTCCTCCCTCTCCAGTTCTACCTGTCCCAACCTATATGTCCTTCAAGGCTCAGCTCAGATGCTACTTTCTCCATAAAATCAGGCCTGAGTGACAGAGCCTAAATTAATCTTTCTCCTATTCCTGTAACAGAGTTAATCATAGCTGGAATCATTCACTAGGCCATCGGCTCATGGAACACAGTGACCATATATGTTCATTGTGGTCTCTCCCTCATATGCCTATCCCATTATCCTGCATGTGGTCAATCCATGTTTACCGGACTAATACCTTTATTTCACCTTAGGATCCTCAGACAAGGCAGTTGCCAAGGTCTGCTGGCTGACATAAGGTCAGTGTTTAAAGTGGAATGCAGGTACTGGCAATGCCAACCCTGTCTTTTGCTAAAACAGCATTCTTATACTTTGACCAGGCAAGAGATCCTAGAGGATCTAGCTCAAGGGATCAGCCACAGTTTCACACTGAGTTATCTGTTGTGCCTTTTGATTATTTGTTTATGAGTCTGTCTCTCCAGCCAGGTTGAATTCTGAGGGCACATAAGAGATTTTACTGGCTACCTATCCCCAGGTCCTAGCATACTGCTGGAAACAGTGTAAGTTCACTACATGTTTGCTGAAAGACTGATCTACTGAATGACTAAATGGAAACTCCCCACTCCTCCCTAGAGCCTCCATGAATTCAAAGAAATGGAGTCTAGAGGAGCTGCATCCTCAGACCTCTTCCCCCAGCCTCATTCCTACAGCAGGCAGACTCCGTTGGTGATACCATCAGCAGGTCATTCCAGCAGCTCCCTTGGCTCTGGAAGCTCTCTGGCTCTAGCTTCTGTCAGTTCTGCTACACAGATACAGGGGCTGACAGTAAGTCTGCATCAGTTGCCCTTTCAGAGGGGACAGAATTTTCCCTAAACTGCTGTTGGAATTGGCTAATTAGAAGGATTTAAAAAATCTTAATACTCTAAACAGAGAAAACTGGTTCTGAATTATTAAGCAACATTTTCAATGCATTTGAATAACCTTAGGTGACTTAGCTGCCACCTGATCCTAAGCTCTAGCTCAGATAAATAAATGTGAAATATTGTCAAAGCCTTGGCTTATAGAAGCCTCCAGCTACAGTAAATAAAAGCTTAACTCCTCATAAACTGCCTGGGACAGAGACACTGTCATATAAAAGGAAAGAAGATGATCTTAAATAAAGCCAGTAGGACCAGGAAGCCAATGGTTTTGTTCTAGTTTTCGGAAGAGAGTTGTCAATGGGGCATGTATTATCAACATCCAGGTCATTTAATCACAGAATCACATAATATCAGAGCTGAAAGAAAATTAAGAAAACACTTAATCTCTTCATATTTTAGATAAAGAAAAAAAGACCCAGAGACGTATGTACCTTGCTTGAGATCACATAACAAGTGGCTAGAAGAATTAAAATTTTGCCCCAGGAGACATGGTTCCCAGCTTAACCCCCTTCCTACTGCACTACATTCTTCTCACTTTTGTTTTTTTGATTAAAAAAATTTTGGGGGCCAGGTGCATCACTTGAGGTCAGGAGTTCGAGACCAGCCAGGCCAACATGGTGAAACCCTGTCTCTACTAAAAACACATAAATTAGCCGGGCAGTAGATGGCATGCACCTGTAATCCCAGCTACTCAGGAGGCTGAGGCAGGAGAATCGCTTGAGCCTGGGAGGCGGAGATGGCAGTGAGCTGAGATGGCACCACTGCACTCCAGTTTGGGCGACAGAGTGAGACCCTGCTTTAAACAAAAAAAAATTTTTTTTTTTTAGAGATGAGATTTCACTATGTTGCCTAGGCTAGAGTGCAGTGGCCTATTCAGGCTCAATTATAGTGCACTACAGCTTGGAAATCCTGGGCTCAAGTTATCCTCCTGCCTCAGCCTCCTGAGTAGCAGGGACTACACTGCAGGCTTGTGCCACCCACAATCTTCTAAGAATGTCTTGCTGGAGATGTCAAAATGAGAGGCTGACAACTGGCTATAAAAACACATCTGAAAATTTTAATCAGATGGGTCACTTCTGGTGCTTGAGTTCTAGAAACTCCATGCTCCTGCCATGCCTCCTCCCCCAAACTTGGGAGTGTTACTTCCAAGACCACCGTAAGGAGGAGGTAAGGGGAGGGTGAGAGAGAAAGAAACCAGGAATGTCACTATAATGTGGCCTCTCACTTGCCTGTCCTCAAGCTATGAAGATACCATGAGTTTCTGACTGGTAAGATGGAAAATATAAAACCAACCAACCAAACAAACAAAAATAGTGGATGAATAGCTGGGAACATTTTATTTCTTCTAATTTATTTACTACACAAGTATTTTCGGAGTGTTTACTACATGTAAGAAACCATGCTAGGTCCTGGATTATAATAGTAAACAAGACACTATTTCTGCTCTCAGGAGTATACAGTCTAGGGCAGAATGCTGACAAGAAAAGAATTTAGAACACTGAAATTCAGAACAGTAAAGGGCCACAAGAGGGAAAAGGGTACCAGGAAACTACAAGGAAGGCAAATGCCTGGCTCAGCCCTAGGGTGTCAATTAGTTCCACATTTTTCTTTCCTCCTTGTCTCAAACTTCGTGTGTACAATTTTTTGTTTAAAAAATGTATATCTTACCTTCACTTTGTGACTATGTAAACTTGAACCAGCCATTTCTGCTTTTGGTTTTCCTAAGCCTTGGGCAAGTTACTTCCCATTTCTGCATCTCAGTTTTTTCATCTAGAAAATAGGTTTTTTTCCCCTAGTTTTCACAGTAAAGAATGCATGCATGAGGAAGGCTTGTTCACACAAGGTCTCACATAAAGCCAATTAGAGGAGGGAAAGTGAAAAAAAAAAAAAAATGGAAATAGCAAAAGAATCTTCAGGTTTGGGATTCAGCCAAACCTGAAGATTCAGATTTAGACATTAAACCTGAAGGCTTGAGGTCCTGGTTCTGGACGAAGAACAGGGTGTGGTTTTGGTGAAGTAGGCTGGGGCTGCAGTTGGCACTGCGGTGAGGTCCTGGGGAATCTACCATTTGATGCATGTGCTAATGCACTCTAGAACTCCAGTACTGGCTTTGAAAATTACAAGGAGTGTCTAGAAAAGGTTAATCTGCGCACATACACATTTGCAGTTGTTTGTGTTTACAATGGGGTTATTATACAGACTTTAAGTGAGCAAAGCGTGTCTGCGAAAGCAACTAGAATACGGAGCACAGAACTAACAATTTTTAATTTATGGCTGGATAAAATCAGATTAGATTGTATGTACAGCCTTCAAAAGCTTATTTGATTTCTTGGTCAGGTGTGGTGGCTCATGCCTGTAATCCCAGCACTTTGGGAGTCTGAGGCAGGCAGACTGCTTGAGGTCAGGAGTTTGAGACCAGCCTGGGCAATTCGGTGAAACCCCATCTCTGCAAAAAAAAAAAAAAAAAAAAAATACAAAAATTATCCAGGCATGGTGGTGTGCACTTATAGTCCCAGCTACTGGGGAGGTTGAGGCTGCTGTGATCACACCACTGTACTCCAGCCTGGGTGACAGAGTAAGACCCTGTCTCCAAAAAAAAAAAAAAAAAAAGGTAAAAGTTTATTTGGGGAAGGGTAAATAATTTTGAAAAGGTTATCGACCGGGCGCGGTGGCTCACACCTTTAATCCCAGCACTTTGGGAGGCTGAGGTGGGTGGATCATCTGAGGTCGGGAGTTCAAAACCAGCTTGACCAACATGGAGAAACCCCATCTCTACTAAAAATACAAAATTAGCCAGGCA
Organism: Homo sapiens; assembly: GCF_000001405.40. Taxonomy (NCBI): domain Eukaryota; kingdom Metazoa; phylum Chordata; class Mammalia; order Primates; family Hominidae; genus Homo; species Homo sapiens. The sequence continues at coordinate 50,458,075 of NC_000001.11, forward strand.
TGGTGGTGCATGCCTGTAATCCCAGCTACTTGGGAGACTGCGGCAGGAGAATTGCTTAAACCTGGGAGGCAGAGGTTGCAGTGAGCTGAGATTGAGCCATTGCACTCCAGCCTGGGCAACAAGGGTGAAACTCTGTCTCAAAATAGTAATAATAATTTTGAAAAGGTTTAAGTATATCAATATACATAAACAGTAATAGTCACTCCATTTTATGTTCAGCATAGTATGGGGAAAGGACCTGGGTTTTGAGAATCAAATATTGATATTGACACTTACTGGACAATATTGAGAAATTTAAACTCTTTGAGCTTCAGTGTTCTTATTTGTAAAATGGAGACAATATCTATCTTTCAGGGAACTAATACCTGGCATACAATAGGCACAAAAAGAAATAGCTATATTCATTGTCATCGCTCCCCACCATTCCAAGTCCTCTGTAAATAAGTTAGAAAGCGGTAAGGGCAAAATTTTTAAGGCTCTGAATTCTACGCAGCTCATCTGAAATGGCTGTAATAACCTCAAACACATTTAAAAAATTCCTTTGTGCACTTCTTTCATCTGGTCAGACGCATACAATGATGGGTTTTCTCATAAAATGCCACTGGTTCCCTCAATATGTCTGTGGTTTAGCAACTGTTTCCTCTTTTTGCCATCAATTTCATCATAATAGCTTAGAAATGCTGAGCATTTACTATGCTAGTGCTTTATGTGTAACACTTCATTTCATTTTTACAACAGCTCTATGAATTTCGTACTATCATTATCCTTATCCTACAGCGAGGAAACTGAGCTACCTAGAGGCTAAGTAATTTACACAAGATCAAACACCTAGGAAATGGTAAAAATGAGATTTAGTCTGGGACTCCAGAACTCAGTCTCCCCTGCCCTGCCCTTTTTTTTTTCTTTTTTTTTTTTGAGACAGAGTCTTGTTCTGTCACCCAGGCTGGAGTGCAATGGCACTATCATGGCTGACTACAGCCTCAACCTTCCAGGCTCAAGTGTTCCTCCTGTTTCGGCCTCCTGAGTAGGTGGGACTACAGGCATGTGCCACCACACCTGGCTAATTTTTTTTTATTTTTAGTAGAGACGATGTATTGCTACATTGCTCAGGCTGGTCTCAAACTCTTGAGCTCAAGTAATCCTCCCACCTTGGCCTTCTAAAGTGCTGGGATTACAGGTATGAGCCACCATGCCTGGCCCAGAACTCAGTCTTTTAACTACTACCCAATAAAGTCTCTCTATGGCTTATCTTCAAATCTGCTCCAGTCACTGCCAGGGGCATTTTCTGGTGTTGAGCCATCCTCACAGTTTAAATCTCTATTCTCTGCTAGAAAGTACCACCTAGACTTTCTCCTGGTCCCTCAGACTCAACAAATCCCAAAGTGAACCTGCCTCTCCATTTATCTTCCTTGATTTTTGCTTATGGTACTATACCATCTTTTTAGTTGTTCAGGCTGGAGACCTCTAAGTCACCTCTGAAAACTTCCTATCCTCCCGCAACCTTGACACAGCCAATTATTAAATCCCACTGATCCTTCCTTCTTCCTGATTCTGTTGTCTTCTCTTCATCCCAAATTGTTGCCATCTTAGTACTGTCTCCCACAGCCTGTTTAATTTTCTAGTGCAATAGTCATATCTGGTCTCCCTTTTCCAGGCTTTCACTACTTTAATCCTTCCTAATCAGAATAATCAACAGTGTTGAGAAGTGGGGAAAAGGCAGAAATGTAGAATCAAAAGACCTAGGTGAAGCCACTGCTCTGCAACTTAGCTAGGTCAATTTGTATAAGCCGCTTGGCAGCTCTAAGTTCAATCTTTCATTTTTAACATAGGGCCTAATACCTACCAACAAACTAGCATTATAAATGGTTTTATGAGGGCAAGAATTCTGTCCTCAATTAGTGGACGTATAGTAGTAAAGAATTCTGTGGAGCACTATGCATAGAATATACTCATTTTTCCATGTATAGTTCTTCATAGAAGTATTCACTACCATGTCCCAAATGTATTGTGCATAACAGGTGCTCAAAAATATCTGTTGGATTAATGCGTAGAAAACTCTTCCATATTTTTTCATCTCTTATTTTATTTCCCTTTATACCTGACCTCATAGCCTAAATTCCAATCACAGAAAACTGTATGCAATTCCCCAAACATATCATACTGATTTATATTTCTATGATTTTGTTCACATTTCTGCTGCTTGGCAAATGCCCATTCCTTTCTTTCTGTTTTCAAAATGTCTTTTTTTGCAGTATATTTAGTGTCATGTTTTTCACATTTGTGTGCTTTTTGTTAGTGATTTTCCTGTTTAAAATGGTTCCCAATCATAGTGCTGAAGTGCTGTCTAGTGTTCCTAAGTAAAGGAGGGCTGTGATGTGCCTTGTGGAGAAAAATATGTGTGTTAGATAAGCTTCATTCAGGCACGAGTTTTAGGACTATTAGCTATGAATTCAATGTTAATGAACCAACAGTATATATTAATGTGTCTTTACATATATGCATGTATGTGTGTGTGTATGTATATATATGTGTGTGTGTGTGTGTGTGTGTTTGTGTATATACACACACTTTTTTTTTGAGGCAGGGCCTGGCTCTCTAGCCCAGGCTGGAGTGTAGTGGTGCGATCACAGCTTAATGTAGCCTCAACCTCCCAGACTGAAGTGATCCTCCCACCTCACTCTCAAGTATCTGGAACTACAGGATGCACCACCATGCCCAGCTAAGTATTTGTATATGTGTGTGTGTGTGTGTGTGTGTGTGCAGAGAAAGGGTCTCACTATGTTGCTCAGGCAGGTCTCAAATTCCTGGGCTCAAGCCTTCCTTCTGTCTTGGCCTCCCAAAGTGCTAGGATTACTGGTGTGAGCCACAGCACGTGGCCTAAGTAAAGTGCCTCTAAATAGAAACACACATAACATATATAACAAAGTTATGTACCGAGTGGTTGATGAAAATGTGACGAGAGGCTCACAAGAACTTAACCCTGTATTTCCCCTAGGAACAGTGGTTGAGTATCCACTAATTCAGTGTTTGTGGCAACATTATACAATATAACTACTGTGAATAATGGGAATCAACTGTATTTCCCAGTTCTAAAACCAATAGCTCCCCACAGCCTATAGAATAATATTCTAATTTCTTAACCTCAGGTGTATTATTACAGTCTGCACCACTGATAGAGGACTTTTTATTCAGCCAAATCTGTGTATTTTTCATGTTGTATCTAGCTTGGCAGTATGTGCCTCAAGTCTGCCAGGATGATCTTCTCCTGTCGTATCTGCCCTGCCACACTTGGTTGGCCCTTATAGACAAGACTGTGTTGTAATTATCATCACACCCTTCAAAGTGTATACCTGTCATTCTTCATCTATCTATCCATCTACCTACCCACAACTCAGCGAGCCTCTACTTTGTGCTAGACCTGTGTAAGTACTGTGCCAGAAACTGAGGGTACAAAGGCAAATAAGACAGTATAGCTGCTGCCCTAAATGAACTTATACAGAGCAATTCCCAGAGGGCCCTGACATAAATGAGGTAAAAAATCTCTATGAGGAAATACGCCTGTCTCTCACACTAGGAAAAACACCATAAAGTAACTCAGGAATATTTCCAATTATGAAAGAAATCTGCTGGTTTGGTAAAACAGAAGACAAATGTTAAACTCTAGATATTTCTAATTGAACACCACTCTCAATCTTTTGTTATTAGGCATGTAAGGCACATTGTTTGATATCTTTACTTGAAAACTGGTAGTTTCCAAACAGTTGATATTGGACAAAGATTCTTTGTCTTCTTGAAACCAAAACACTGAAAAAAAAAAAGAAAAAAAAAAGAGGAAGGAGGGAATGGGGTTGGGGAGAAAAATAATCACCATTACCATCACACCAGCTATACTATTAGATTCTTACCCTGTGTTAATTTTATATATATTATATACATTATATATATTTTATATATTATATTATATATTAATACCAATATATAACATATCAATATTTTATATATATATATACACACACACATATATATAAAAACTTGGGAGGTTGTGCCTGGTTTCTCCTGGACTTTGCCCATGTACCTTTTCTCCTTGCTGATTCTGCTTTGTATCCTTTTGCTCTAGGAACTCATAGCCCTGAGCATAATTATATGCTGAGTCCTACGAATCTTCCTAGGAAATCACATATATATGAATGAAACATTTTATATCGATTTTTAAATGCTCACTACATGCCTCTGAAGCAGGTATTGCTACTTCCATTTTACCAAGAAATTAAGTAACCTAAGATCACTCAGTGAAGAGTTGATCCATTTGACTCCACAACCTGTGTGTTTTCTTGATTCAGTCTACAATGCCTATGAAATGTGACTGAGGAGAGGTAATATTAAATAAATCATCCTTACAGTGTTGATCTGTATTTGTTTATAGTAACAAGCAAGAAAAATAAATATCAACAACTCCTCCCCTTTTTAAAGTAGCCAATTTGAAGAAAGTATTCTCCCTAGGCAGTGTGGGAAAGTGGCTGCAGGCTCAAGGACAACCGTAGGGGTTCGGAGCAGACCATTATAGAATCTGGGGCAAATTTGCATTGAACACGCTGATACTCTACAAACTAGGTGATGGCTATCTCTAGGGATTGTGCTTCCCTCATGATGTCTTGAAAATCTCCTTTGAAAATACAGGTTGATTGGTGCTTGTTAGGATTCTTCTGAGACTACTTTTATACCCTTTGCTACAGGACTAAGTTATGTTCGAAGGTGGGAAGTTTCCCTGTTTATAGAGGTCCCCTTACATATCTAGCAGTAAACTCCAGAAGTGAATTTGAGACATGAATATCTTAAAAAACAAAGTTATAT